>NT_167246.2:3221583-3255741 GCF_000001405.40 Homo sapiens | reverse complement strand
GGCCATATTTCAGCTTATTCTTGAGCTTGATCAGGGCAACGTCATAGTCATAAAATTCAGGAATTCCTGCTTCTTTTTTCCCATTAATGTTGTAGTTGGGGTGAAATAGGACTACTTCTATCTCCAGGTCCCGCTTCTCCCCTCCTGAAGTAGGAGAGTAGGTACCACCTCTTTGTGGGCAGCTTCCTGCCTCTGGCCCCGTGTCATTCCTAACTTCACGTCTTCCCCCATCCCTGACTGGTCTGGGGTGCAAGGAATGGGGCTGCATTGAGGATGGGTGGAGTGTAGGATCTGTAGAAAGTGGGAGGTGTTGCCTGGAGAGCATAGGTGCAGCCCAGGACCTTCAGTTGCATCCTTACCTACGCTGACCTTGATTGAGTGTTCCTTGTCATCCACAGTGAAACAATGTGCTGCTGTCAGCACAAAGTACTCAGACACCACAGCCCCCATACAGCTCTCGTGTCCCTTTGAAGGGCGCTGGGGACACAACAGTAGAGAGGGAAAGCTCAACTTTCACAAACCACCATCTCTTATGGCCATTTTTTCCTTCCCCTACTCCCATTTCACCTTGACCTCACCTCCCCCAAGTCCCCACTACTGGGATTCTGTGCTTACAATGACTGAGATCTTGGCCTGCCATGGTTGCTTGTGGTAATCGGTACCCTTCCTGTGTTCCCAAACCATGCCACAGAGACTCAGAGACTGGCTTTCATCTGGCAGAGAAGGAGAATGTGCTGAAAACTCGGAACACTTCATTCCCAAATGGCAGCAGCCTTTTGGGTAGGAGTCTATGGGGAGCAAAGGCCCAAAAGGAGAAAGGGAAAGACCACGGGTATTTGTTTCCTCGTGTTAGGAGAAAACTGCTATGGTGGACTGAAAAGGGAAAGAACTTGGGATCAAGCTGTCAGAGGCCTGGCTGTTTTCAAGCCCACCCTTGTTGCTAACTTGCTGTCCCTTGACCTCCTTTGGCTTCTGTTTCCACATGTGTCAAATGTAGGACTATAGAAAGATCTCTGAAGTGCTCAGAGCTCTGTGATTCTAAGGTTAAGTGAACAGTGCCAGGAAACAAGAATAGTGACACTGAGGTAGAGAAGGAGGAATGAAGAAGGCTTTCCAGGCAACTAGAGCTTCAGGTGTAGAGGAAGAATGAATTACTTCAGGGGAACCTGAGGAGAGTTGTGTTCTTTATTCCCTTGTATCTCCCTACCGATCATTTGGTAGAAAACATCTTCCAGGTTTTCCATATCCTTGACTTTGAACACATGTTGCTCATTGTCTTTCTTGGAAGCCAAAGCATTGATGTTCACTTGGTTCACCAAAGGCCCGACCCCAAACACATAGACATCTGAGGGATAAAAAGGAAGGATGAGGGTCCAAGCCCTGAGGAAGTGGGGTGCTGGGTCCTAGGCAGGTTACTCACCCAGATAATCCTCCCTTGGGTTTTTGCGATCCTTGCCAATGTATAGCAAGTCCCGGATCTCATCAATGACAGTAATTGGGTCCCCGCCCATGTTGTGCAATCCTGCAGAAGAGACAGGACCATGAGGGTAGGAGATAAGGAAGATAAACTGGCTAAAGGCAGGGATACACGTGGCAGGGTGAGCAAGTTGAGGAAGGGTTAGAGATAGTTGATCACAGGGCTTAGGAAGAATTCCTTATGAAGGGTCACAGGAGAGATGAACAGCCAGCTATGAGTCACATTCAGGGCCCCAACCATGGGTATAGTGTTACAAGTGGACTTAAGGGCCACATGCTGGTCTGAGAAGGTGGGGAGGCTGGGACAGGAGAGAGGTCCCTTCTGACCATCAGTCATGAGGATGATGACATGGCGGGTGCGGTTCCAGCCTTCAGGAGGGACGTCATCTGGCCAGCTCATCATGCTGTACACTGCCTGGAGGGCCTTCTTGGTGTTAGTCCCTGACTTCAACTTGTGGTCTGTGGAGAGGGAAGAGACCATCACCTCACCTGGTCTTCCAAGCCATCTTTTAACCCCAGAGACCAATCTGCAACTGAAATCCCACATCTTTCAACTTTTTAAGTTAATCATCATTACACGGACTTCCCTTTGACCACAAAGTGGCCCTTCCAGCCCCCAACAGGTTCCCACTAACCTCCATTGCCCAACGATCCTGCTGTTCAACCTTTGACTACAAAGTGGTCCTCCCTGTCGCCCTCAAGGTAGTCTCATGACCCCCTCCACCCTGAACCTCCTGACCCCAAAGTGAACCTCCCACCATTCCCTAACCTCTGACCTTCATAATTGATTTCATTGAGCTGCTTCGTGACCCAGTCTGCATTACTGCTGTCTGCTTCAGACACTTTGACCCAAATTTTGGGGTATGTGGCATATGTCACTAGACCATATCTTGGCTTCACACCATAACTTGCCACCTGTGGGTGAGGAGAACAAGGCGCCATGGCATTGAAAATAGAATACTGTGATTGGGAGATTTCAGCGACTTTGCTGGGACAGGGAGGCCCTCAGTAAGAGGCTCAAGGGCTGAGGTTCATGGAGGAATTACCAGTCAAGAAACTGCTTCAAGTAAAAGGGAAGGAGGACAGAATAGGACCTGGAGATTTTCCTGGGGCCCTGTTGTTCAGAGGGGCTGGAATGATCAGGGAGCTAGTCCTGGAAGATCAGCGAGATTCCATTCCCCCGAGTTCAGGGATAGGAGGATTCCACCTTCTCAATTAAGTTGACTAGACACTTTTTGGCTCCTGTGAAGTTGCTGGCCCCAATGCTGTCTGATCCATCTAGCACCAGGTAGATGTTCATGGAGCCTGAAGGGTCCAGGACGATCTTCCGCTTCTGTTGTTCCCCTGGGTGCCAGGAGAGTGGCTCAGGCTCCAGCATTAACAGTTCTGTCCCTTCTCCATTTTCCCCCAGTTCCCTGCCCTGCCTCCCTTCTCTGTCTTCAAACCTGGGCCGTGCCCATCCTCAGCATCGACTCCTTCTATGGTCTCTGTCAGGGAAGACAGGAAAGCTTCGGCCACCTCTTGAGGGGTGTCGTACATGAAGGAGTCTGGGAGAGTCAGAAATGAGGTCAAATGTCTGGGAGTGTCAGGGATACAGTGACCAAAGAGACGGGGGATCATGGGTTTCCAGGGTATAAAAGGCTCAGAAGTGAGATAGTTGTACAGGGAGGTTTAAACAAAGTGAGGAAAGAGCAGGGTTGAGGTGGGGAGAGAAGACAGTAGGATGGAAGACCAGGATCTGACCTGGGGGTACAGGTCAAAGGTCACCTTGGCAGGAAGGCTCCGTCCCGCTCCAAGAGCCACCTTCCTGACACGTTCGCCGCTGGGAGCCACGCAGGGTAAGCCCCCGGCTGCAGTGGTAGGTGACGCTGTCTTCAAGGCGGTACTGGCTGCCCACCTTCCTTGTGCCAATGGGGATGCCCGGGTTGGAGCAGTACCCCGCTGCAGAGGTATGAGACATCGAGGTAAGCACTGAAGCCTGAGGCCCCGTGAGCAAGGTAGAGAGCAAGAGTTACAGTGTCCGGAGCCGAGTGCCCACTCCTCGGGCTGGGCGCCGTCAGGGAGACAGCAATGTAGGGGGAGGGGATGCTTCTCACCTCCGTTGTCACAGATCGCTGTCTGCCCACTCCACCGGCCATTCACTTGGCAGGTGCGATTGGCAGAGCCCCGGAGAGTGTAACCGTCATAGCAGTGGAAAGAGATCTCATCACTCACATTGTAGTAGGGAGACCGGGGCCAGTATTCCCCGTTCTCGAAGTCGTGTGGTCTTGGACAGTGGATTGCTTTGAGAAGGGGGGACAAGTAGAAGTCATCAAGAGGGAAAGGCTGCCTTAGGTGTATCCCTCCTGGTCTCGGAGACCATGTCACTGAGAAACAGCGCATTCCCAGTCCCGCAGAAGCAGCATCTTACCTACTCCTCAACCCATATGGATTTCCACTGCTTCTCCCTCCCCATTTCTGAGTGTTCTCTTGACTTCCAGGGCTGCCTGGAAGCCCAGGGTAAATGCTTAGTAAGGGTTAACTCCGCTTTTTCTTGCCCCCTTTCCGCCTGCCACCCTAAAACTGCTCCTACTCCCGGTCAGCCCACCTTGTCACCCTGCCTAGTCTCATCCTAGTCCTGACCTTGCTGCCGCCTGCCCTGTTTCTGCCTTAGGCCACTGCCCACACTCATTGCCCTCAAACCTCTGCACTCTGCCTTCCTGACAGTCTTTTGGTCTTGAGTCTTCAGGGTGCTCCAGGACCCCGTAGATCTGCAGGTACGTGTCTGCACAGGGTACGGGTAGAAGCCAGAAGGACACACGTACTCCAGTGCCTGGCCCTCTTGGAGAAGTCGGAAGGAGCCGCCTTTGATCTCTACCCCCTCCAGAGAGCAGGATCCCTGGGGCTGGGCCAAAGACCATGGAGTGGTGGTCACACCTGAAGAGAAAGGCTGATGAAGCCTGGCCCCAAAAGGCCAAGGAGGGATGCTGGAGACAGCAGGAAGGGAAGGTTACCCTCGCTTACCTCCAGACAAGAGGCCCAAGATAAAGGGCATCAGGCAGAGTTGGGGGCTGAGATTGCTCCCCATGGCGTTGGAAGGCAGGAGAGAAGCTGGGCCTGGGGCAGGATGGTGTGTCCTGGCTTGCTTTGCTTGTCTGCTTGGCTCAGTGTCCAAGCTGAAACTCCAGACCTAGACCTGGTCACATTCCCTTCCCCTGCTCCCCACCAGCCCCCAGCCTTTTATACAATCTGTGTTCTGGCACCTGCGGCTCGCCCCGCCTGTCCTACCCACATCACTTTCCCGGAACATCCAAGCGGGAGGGCCCCGCTGAGCTGCCAGTCAAGGAAACAGAAACTGCAGAAGTCCCACCCTTTGCTGCCAAAGGTCCAGGACTCTCCCCTTCAGTACCTCCTCTCCGGCCTTAGCTCCTCCCCAGTAAGCCCAAACCACCCACTTAGGGACCAGAAATAAGGATCCAGCTCACTCCCCTGTTGATTGTGTGTTATGGTGCAGAGTCCAGCCACTGTTTGTCCAGTGGGGTCTCTGACCTGCCTTCCTGTAGCTCTTGGAGTCATTCTGGCCTCCCCCTCCCCCAAGGCCAGCCCTACCTGGCCTCCAGATAGAGGCACTGAGAGATGTGGAAACCATTGATTTTTATTAATTTCATAACTGGGAAATTCCATGTGAAAGTGAAACAAGCATGAGTCAAGTCAACCAGGGAAGGAATCTGGGGACAGGCCAAGGAGCGGGAGGTGGGGCAGCGAGGCAGTCCTGCTGGTAGGAGCCCTGAGGATTTCCCAGCTTGTGTGCGCTGCCTCTGGCATCCTAGAGACCCGGATTTACTCAGCTAGGAGAGAGGATGGATCACAGGGTCTAAGGGTGGCCATTCAGAGGTAGAAGATGGAGGGGCGGCAGATTCTGGCAGGGCAGCAGAGGGCTCAGTGGCCATGGCTAGAGGGGTAAAAAATTCAGGACATCCCCCAGGTGCTGCCTCAGCCAGGGCTGCATGCGGAAGAGATTGATGTGAAAGTCTCGTGGCGGCGGGACCTTGCTACGAGGGGCCCTTTTGCGGGAGTTTTTGTCAGCAGAGCCAAGGCAGGGGTTGTAAAGACCCCAGCTCACCAGACCCACCTGGAGAAAAGGAGAGAACTGGCTGGGAGGCTGCCACAGCCCCAACTGTAAGCCCCAACCTCCCTAGATCCCTCAAAGGCCTCCCTCATCCCCCCAACAAGGCTGAGATCCTGTAACCCCTGGGTCCTGCAAGCTTCTACCTTCTCACCTGAAAAAACCTGAATCTCCGCTCAAGGAAAACTGCTCCCCCAGATTCTCCTGCCAGCAAAGGGTGACAGGAGACAGTGTCATCTAGGGCAGTGGACTGGTGTTCTGGCATGCATGCTGGCCACAGAGACACAGGTGGCCTTCCCCTTGGGAATCCAGGCATGGTGAGGGACTCACCCTTGCAGGGACTCTCATCCTCCTGGGTCCCACTGCATAGGAACTGGTCTGTCACCACCTCCCTGACATCTGTCAAGTTGGGGAACATGGTTTTTTCTTGGGAGACAACCTCGGCACAGCTTGTCCACTGCAGCAGGGGTGGAACCAGAGAGAAGGGTAGAATAAGCAGACCCGGGTGGGTGCAGTGGCTCACGCCTGTAATCTCAGCACTTTGGGAGGTTGAGGCAGGCAGATCACTTGAGGTCAGGAGTTCAAGACCATCCTGGCCAACATGGCGAAATCCCGTCTCTACTAAAAATACAAAAATTAGCTGGTGTGGTGGTGGGCACCTGTAATCTCAGCTACTCGGGAGGCTGAAGTAGGAGAATCGCTTGAACCCAGGAGGCAGAAGTTGCAGTGAGCTGAGGTCGTGCCACTGCACTCCAGCCTGGGAGACAGAGCAAGACTCCATCTCAATAACAACAAAAAAAGAATAAGCAGACCCAGGGACACCTAGCAGGTTTGTGAGGCTTGGGAGGAGGGGTGACCCGCGTCAGAGAGAGAAAGCAGCCAGACCTGGAGAAGGAAGAGAGACATTCTGGGAGCTGTCACAGGGGGATCCCAGCATCCCCAACCTGAGACCCTCACCTCCACTCCCATCTTAAGGTTAATGTTCAGTTTGCTCCCATTCAAGGCGACAAAATGAGCAGGAACACTCTGTTTGTTCAGCAGTTCATTCTCTATAGTCAAGAGAAGGGGATGTTGGTGCTGGTCCTTTTACCCAGAATCCAGGTTCCTGGCTTGGGGACTGCAGCCTAGTCCTTGTTATCACCCCCAAACCCCGGCCCCAGCTCTCAAGCACCATAAGTCCCAGCACTCACCATGGTCCCTACAGGTGCTGCCTTGAGGTCTCCGCAGAGCCAGATTGGCCTCCATCGTGCAGGGAAGGCAGATGGGCCTGGGGAGAAGAGCAAGGGTCACACCAGCCTGTCCCCAGTATCTCTTCCAGGGATCTCCAGAGCACTCTTCCCTGCAGGGCACCCTCCCATCCCAGACTCCAGGCACCTGGCATGGGTGGACATCTTTACTTTCTGGGCCAGCTTCAGCAGAGCTATGTCATCACCATAGAACTCCAGGATTCCCTGGTTCTTTTTGGCAAAGACATCAAACCCTGGGGAGATCACCGCCTTCTCAATAAGGAATTCTTTGCCCCACTGGGATTTGGGGTCTCCTGGAAATGATACACTAGATTAGGCTAGACCAGGGCTCCTGCAGGGGCCAGAGGCTGGGTGAGGTGGTAGGATCTGTGGCTTCAGGATCAGGAGGCTGGTGCATCCCCTGCCTTACCCACATTGACCCTCCACAGGGAGTGGTCGTTGCCATCGCGGAAGCAATGAGCTGCTGTCAGGACCCATTGGTCGGAGATGAGGGCCCCCCGGCAGGTCTCTTGGCTCTTGGGCTGCAGGGGAACAGGTGATTTTCAGAGATTGCAGTATGTCTGGCCCATGGCCGCTTTTACCTCTGGAATCCAAGCCCTGCCCCTCCTTCCTGGTACCTTAATAGTGACATGCCAGGGTGTCCTCTCCTGGTCAGAGGCGTTTGCTGACATGTTCCCCACCCCGCAGATGGTGTCTGTGAGCTTGGAGACATCTGTGGGTGTGAGGATCAGATGGGGAAGGAGGCAAGTGAGGGGCACTGTGTCCAGGTTCCCAAAACGGGCCTTTGGCGGGCTCCTCACCATCCTCCCCACACCAAGGAGGGCAAAGCTCACTCACCCAGCATATGTTCAAAGACCTGGTGCAGAGCCTTTGTGTCCTGCAGAATGAAGGCATGCCTCTCACCATCCTTCTTGGACCCTAGCTCATTCAGTTCTCTCCAGTCCACATCCAGCTTGCCCACCCCGATGGCATAGATGTCTGGTGGGGAAGAGGGAAATCACCAGACTCCTGTGGCTTTGGGGCTACCCCATGAGACAGGAGGCTGTCATCTGAAACTCACTGTGTCCAATCAAGACCTACATGAGCTGGACCCCTGCGTCCTCCCCACTGCTACCTGTCTGCCTTCATTTCCTGCCACTCCCTGCCCTTCACTCTCCTGCAGCACACAGCCTCTTTGAAGTTCCTCAAATCCATAGGCATGGTCACACCTCAGGCCCTTTGCCCAGCTGTGCCTCTGCCTAGTTCACTCCTCCCCCCAAGACTTCCACATGGCTCACTTTCGTACCTTTTTAAGTCTTGGCTCAAATGTCACCTTCTCAGTGAGGCCTTCCCTGGTCTTCCTGTCTAAAACTGCAATGCCCCAGACAAACTTTCATCCCCACTTTGGGAGGCAAGGTGGGAGGATCCCTTGAAGCCAGAAGTTTGAGACCAGCCTGGGCAACATGGCAACACCCCTTAGCTTGTGTCACCTACCACCTGCTGGGTTCTATGGTTTTCTTATCCTGTTTATTCCCTGTAATGGTGGAATTGTGTCCCCCAGAAAGATGTGTTTGAGTCCTAATCCCCAGTATCTGTGACTTTATTTGGAAAAAGGGTCTTTGCAGATGTAATCAAGTTAAGATTAAGTCATACTAGATTAGGGTGAGCTCTAATCCAATGACTGAGGTCCTTATAAGAAGAGGTAAGCCAGAGCCAGGCGTGGTGGCTCACACCTGTAATCACCAGGAGGCGGTGGTTGTGGTGAGCCAAGATCGCGCCATTGCACTCCAGCCTGGGCAACAAGAGCAAAACCCCGTCTCAAAAAAAAAAAAAGAAGAGGTGAGCCGGGCACGGTGGCTCACACCTGTAATCCCAGCACTCTGGGAGGCTGAGGCGGGCAGATCACGAGGTCAGGAATTCAAGACCAGCCTGACCAACATGGTGAAACCCTGTCTCTACTAAAAATACAAAAATTAGCCAGACATGCTGGCACACACCTGTAATCCCAGCTACTCAGGAGGCTGAGGCAGGAGAATCGCTTGAACCGGGAGGCGGATGTTGCAGTGAGCCGAGATTGCACCACTGCACTCCAGCCTGGGCAACAGAGCAAGACTCCATCTCAAAAAAAAAAAAAAAAAAAAAAAAAAAAAAAAGTGAACTGGCTGGGCATGGTGGTGACTCATGCCTGTAATCCCGGCAGTTTTTTTGAGGCGAAGGCAGGCAGATCGCCTTGAGGCCAGGAGTTTAAGACCAGCCTAGCCAACATGGCGAGACCATGTCTCTACTAAAAATACAAAAATTTGCCGGGCATGGTGGCACATGCCTGTAATCCCAGCTTCTTGGGAGACTGAGGCACGAGAATCACCTGAACCCAGGAGGCAGAGGTTACAGTGAGCCGGGATCCCGCCACTGCACTGCAGCCTGGGCTTCTGGGTGACAGAGCGAGACTCTGTCTCAAACAAATGAACAGAAAAAGAAGAAAGGAATTTGGACACAAAGACACAGGTAGTGGGTCTCCTATCTATATAAGAGAACAGCATGTAATGACACAGAGGCACACACAGAAAAGAAGGCGAGTTGAAGACAGAGGCAGAGAATGGGTTTATGCTGCCGCAAGCCAAGGTTGGAGCTGCCGGCAGCCGGAAAAGGCAGGAAAGAATTCTTCCCAAGAGCCTTCTGAGGAAGCACGGCCCTGCCAACACCTTGATTTCAGACTTCTAACCTCCAGAACTGTAAGAAAAAGAAATTCTGTGTTCTAAGCCACCCAGGTTTGTGGTAGTTTGGTAAGTACTTTTAAATGACTGAATGAATAGAAAGAACTCAGAACACAACATGGAAACTAAACCTCAGATCTGGTCTTCCTCTGTAAAAGGTAGCATCTGGGAGAAGGGCCTAAAGCCACGTTTTCCCACTGGAGGCCCTGGACCCACACAACAGGCCGCGCCTGTCCTCCGACTGTGGTGCCAGTCAGAACTGCCCTCAGGCAGACCACAGAGTCTACTCCTCTCCCAGCCTTTGCACCCCTTGTGGCCCATTTTTGTTCTCAGAGAGCCCCGCGTTGTGTGTAAAAAGCAAGGTGCTTAGGTGGACCAAGAGATCTTCAGCCAGGAGGCAATCTGGCAATGGCCCAGATAGAAACAGTTACAGTTGGAGCTAGACAACGATCGTGCCTTGTGCGTTTTCTTTGACTATTTTCGTTTGGTTTCCTGCTTATTTTCAATAAAATGTTTTTGTAGCATTTGACCTTGGTCCAGTGATGCTAAGGAGGAAGGGAGTGGGCTTTAAATTTTGTCTTCCTTGGGCCAGAGTTTTAAAGAGGAATCAGCTTACCCCCGAGGGCCAGGTGATGGGGGAGGGGGCAGTGTGAATGGAAAGGAGAGGAGCTAAGGGGAAGATGAAAGGTTGGGGCTCAAAACCAGCTGCCCTCCCTGTCTGAGCATCTCTCTCTCTGAAATTACTTTCTGATCAAAGGTCAGTGCAATTTGTGTTTAGTCTGAACCTGAGGAATTTTTCCTTTAGAAGCTGCAACTGCCAAAGCCTTAGTTAGCCAGCTGTGCTGCTGAAAGAGCAACCACCAGGGACATTCCCCAGAGGGAATCGAGGTCCCTTCTTCCTGGAAAGTTTCCTGAAACATGAGATGCTATGATGATGATGATGATGATAACGACGACGGTCGTGGTCATGGCTAACATATGCTGGGCATTTTTCTATGCCAGGCAGGCAGTGTTTGTCTGAGCATCTTCCCCTGTCAGCTTGTGAGCTGGGTCCTAGTACTACTCCCCTTTTGCAGATGAAGAAACTGCCCATGGCCACAGCCCACTGAAGATGAAACCAAGGTTCTCTGTCTAAAGCTGTTGATTAAAAATAATAATTAAAAAATTAAAAATTGGCCAGGCACAGTGGCTCACGCCTATCTGTAATCCCAGCACCTTGGGAGACCAAGGCAGGCGGATCACTTGAGGCCAGGGGTTTGACACCAGACTGCCAACATGGTGAAACTCTGTCTCTATTAAAAATGCAAAAATGAGCCGGGCATGGTGGCACACACCTGTAATCCCAGCTACTCTGGAGGCTGAGGCAGGAGAATCATTTGAAGCCAGGACGTGGAGGTTGCAGTGAGTTGAGATCGAGTCACTGCACTCCAGCCTGGGCAACACGGCAAGATTCTGTCTCAAAAAAAATTTAAAAATTAATTTTAAAAAATTTGTGAAGACGGGCTGAGCATAGTGGCTCATACCTGTAATCCTACCACTTTGGGAAGCTGAGTTGAGGGGATCACTTGAAACCAGGAATTTGAGGCTGCAGTAAGCTATGATTGCACCACTGCACTTCATGGTGGCATGGTGGACATCGTTACTTTCTGGACCAGCTTCTGGGCCGGCATGGGTGGACATCTTTCCAGGAATATACTCTGAGTGTCAGTGAGACACTGTCTTAAAAAAAAAAAAAAAAAAAAAGAAGGTAAGGTTGAGACCATGGGCAGTAGTTTGACCCCAGGCTCTTCAACATGAGTTGCCTTTGTACAGAACAACGCAGAAATAAAACCATGTGGCTCTGGACCATAGCTAAGATGCTGAGATCCCTGGCTGAAGATCTCGTGACCTCTGCAGGAGCAGAACAAATGTGGTGGCAGTGGCAGGGGCTCACCCAGATAGTCATTCCTCTTCTGGTTGATGTTCAGGATCTCTCTGATATGGTCAACAGCTGTCTTGGGAGAGCCACCCATATTGGACTTTCCTAGAACAAAGAGAATAAAGAATTCTTCTAGGTAATATCAGGATTTCCCCAGGCCCTGGAAGAGTAGGAAAGCATTTAGCCTGGGAACCTCAACATTTACATTGCCTGTGAGAGCTTCAAAATATACTTTTAGGCTGGGCATAGTGGCTCACACCTGTAATCCTAGCACTTTGGGAGACCGAAGAAGGCGGATTGCCTGAGCTCAGGAGTTCCAGACCAGCCTGGGCAACATGGTGAAACCCTGTCTCTACTAAAACCACAAAAAATTAGCCAGGTGTGGCCGGGCATGGTGGCTCATGCCTGTAATCCCAGCACTTTGGGAGGCCAAGGCAGGTGGATCACCTGAGGTTGGGAGTTTGAGACCAGCTTGACCAACATGGAGAAACCGCACCTCTACTAAATATACAAAATTAGCCGGGTGTGGTGGCACATGCCTGTAATCCCAGCTACTCAGGAGGCAGGAGAATCGCTTGAACCTGGGAGGCGGAGGTTGCGGTGAGCCAAAATCGCGCCATTGCACTCCAGCCTGGGCAACAAGAGTGAAACTCCATCTCAAAAAATAAAAATAAAAATTAGCCAGGCATGGTGACACATGCCTGTAGTCCCAGCTACTCTGGAGGCTGAGGCACGAGAATTGCTTCAGCCTGGGAGGCAGAGGTTGCAGTGAGCCGAGTTCGCACCACTGTAGTCCAGCCTGGGCAATAGAGTGAGACCCTGTCTCAAAAAAATAAATATATATATATATATATATATATATGTATGTATACATATATATATATACATACATATATATATATACACACTTTTACTGAAATGTTCTACATTCCAGGCACCAGGCCAGGTGCTTCCTATACTTTAACTCATTTAATTCTCATGAAACCCCAGGTAGAGTGGGTATCCTCATTTTATATACTAAGTCCTGGAGGAACTGTGTAATTTGGACAATAGCAAGAGGCAAATGACAAGGCCAGATCCACTACAGACTGTTCCTTGCATCCGTGCCCTTCGACATTCCTGCTCAAGAGCCACGTTTCCTCATCTATCTCCAAGTTACCTCCCAGATGGTAACAAGAGCTAACACAGAGCACTTTCACACAGGCAACTTAAATAGCTTTCCATAAAAATTGTGTAAGGAAAGGAGGACAGCCATCATGATCATCATTGCTGTCATTGTGGTTACGGTCATCATCATCAACACTAATTCTATTTATTTATTTATTTTATTTTGAGACAAGGTAGGATCTTGGTCTGTCACCCAGGCTGGAGTGCAGTGGCATGATCTTGGCTCACTGCAACCTCTGCCTCCCAGGTTCAAGCAATTCTCCTGCCTCAGCCTCCCAAGTAGCTGGGATTACAGGCGCCTGCCACCACACCCAGCTAATGGTTTTGTATTTTTAGTAGAGACGGGGTTTCACCATGTTAGCCAGTCTGATCTCAAACTCCTAACCTCAAGTGATCCACCCGCTTTGGCCTCCCAAAGTGCTGGGACTACAGGCATAAGCCACCACACTGGCCCTATTTTATAAATAAGAAACTGGGCCAGGTGTGGTGGCTCATGCCTGTAATCCCAGCACTTTGGGAGGCTGAGGCAGGAGGATTGCTTGAAGCCAGGAGTTTGAGATCAGCTGGGCAACATAGCAAGGCCCCATCTCTAAAAACAAAAACAAAACTGGGGCCCAAAGTGGAAGGCAGAGGGAGAATCAGAATTCAGGGCTTCTGACCCCATATTGGTGCCCCTTCCACTATTCCAGACACACTCAGAGACCATGATACCCACCATCTGTCAGAAGGATGATGGCATGTCGGATTTCCTGCCAGGCCATCGTTTCCATGCCGAGGAGTCGCATTTGGTTGTTCATCATGAGATAGACACTGTTTAAGGCTGCATAGGTGTTAGTCCCAGTTCCATTTTCATGATCTGGAATATGCCAAAAGGAAGGACTCTCTTAGAAACTTCCCACCTACCACCTAGGGGTAGGGAATCACTCTATTCCCCCAATTATTGGAAATGCAATTTTTTTTTTTTTTTTTGAGAGAGTCTCGCTCTGCCACCCAGGCTAGAGTATAGTGGCGTGATCTTGGCTGACTGCAACCTCCACCTCCCCAGTTCAAGTGATTCTCATGCCTCAGTCTCCCAAGTAGCTGGGATTACAGGTGCCAGCCACCATGCCCAGCTAATTTTTTGTATTTTTAGTAGAGATGGGGTTTCACCATGTTGGCCAAGCTGGTTTCCTGACCTCAAGTGATCCGCCCATCTCAGCCTCCCAAAGTGCTGGGATTACAGGCATGAGCCACTGCACCCGGCCTGGAAATGCAATTTATCGATTGTTTTGATAAACTCAGACATTTGCCATTCAGATAGAGATGTGGCATCATTGCTTGTTCAAACTTTAAAAGCCTTTCCACCTTAGAAATGTTCATTGCATAGGGCCGGGCAAGGTGGTTCACGCCTGTAATCCCAGCACTTTGGGAGGCTGAGGTGGGCGGATCACAAAGTCAGGATCACGAGACCAGCCTGACCAACATAGTGAAACCCCATCTCAACTAAAAATATAAAAAATTAGCCAGGCATGGTGGCAGGTGCCCGAAATCTCAGCTACTCGGGAAGCTGAGGCAGGAGAATTGCCTGAACCCTGGAGGCAGAGGTTGCAGTGAGCCAAGATCGTGCCACTGCACTCAAGCCTGGGTGACAGTGCGAGACTCCATCTCAAAAAAAAAAAAAAGAAGAAGAAAAAAGAAATGTTCATTGCATAACCCCAATCCAAGACCACACTAAAGTCCCAAGATTCAAAGATGAGGTTTCCAAAACCTTGAGTGGCTTCAGCCATTTGCTAAGTGCCAACCAGGCACTTTACATGGTGTATGGGTGGCTAATGACATGGGGAGATGGCAGTGTGCAGCCATGCAAACCAGACAGTGTGGTTTTGGCAACTGGAAGGAATTGAAGACCTGCACAGTGTCTTTGGACCTGCAGCATCTCAGAATGAGCTATGAGCTGGGGGCAGCTGGACTCCCCCACCATAACCCTGGACGTTGAAACTACCCCAGACTCGTGGGACTCAGGTGCCACCAAGAGGCCTCACTCTCTTTTTAACTCATCCAGAATTTGTTTGCAGGCCCTGAGAGGGTCCATCTTCTCCTCTCTCATCACCATCACGTGATGACACCCGTACCTTTATAGTTGGCATTTTCCAGGCTGCTGATCACCTCAGTCATATCCCGGGAGTTGTCGTTCAGGACAGACATGAGGACTTTGGGCTCTGAGGCAAAGGTGATAATGGCAACGCTCACATTGATCTCAAAGCTGAAGATCTGTGCGGGGCAAGTGAGAGGCAGCGTAAAGGGCCCTGAAGCCAAAGGGGAGATGGTAAGAGAGCAAACAAAGGGCCCTGGAGGAGGCAGAGAAACTGGAGTGAGACCGACAGAGGCAAGGACCAGGGGAGACACTAGGAAATGGCTGTTAGGAAGAAGCTAGGGGCTGGGCGCGGTGGCTCATGCCTGAATCCCAACACTTTAGGCAGGTGGATCACCTGAGGTCAGGAGTTCGAGACCAGCCTGACCAACATGGCAAAACCCATCTCTACTAAAAATACAAAAATTAGCCTGGTATGGTGGCAAGCACCTATAATCCCAGCTACTCAGGAGGCTGAGGCAGAAGAATCACTTGAACCCAGGAGGCAAAGTTTGCAGTGAGCTGAGATCGCACCACTGTACTCCAGCCTGGGTGACAGAGACTCTATCTCAAAAATAATAATAATAATAATAATAAAAATAAGGAACAGCAGCAGCTAAGGAAGAAACCTTTGTTGAACATCTTTCTCTTTGACAGACTCTCTTCACTCCACCCTGTGAGGGGCATGATGACCCCTATTTTATGGATAAGGAAATTGAGGTATGTTGCCTTGTCCCCCTTCCCCCATCACACCATGAGGAGGAGGTGGAAGTGGGATCTGAATGTGTCACATGATTCTCAATCACTGCTCCAACTGGTGTGTGTTGCCGCCTCGCAGTGCAATGAGTTACTTAATTTTGAGTCCCAAGAGAGCACAGAAACTGCCCTCTTTAAAATGTAGCTGGGAGGGAAAACCATCTATAATGTTACATGAAGTATTGTGAAAAGCACAATTACAAAACAAAGTTCTGGCGAGGAACTTAAACCAGTGGCTTCCAAACTTCTATCACACATATTTTATTTTATTTTATTTTATTTTATTTATTTTTTTGAGACAGAGTTTTGCTCTAGTTGCCCAGGCTGGAGTGCAATGGCGTGATCTCAGCCCACTGCAACCTCCACCTCCCGGATCCAAGCGATTCTCCTGCCTCATCCTCCCAAGTAGCTGGGTTACAGGCGTGCGCCATCACACGTGGCTAATTTTGTATTTTTAGTATAGACAGGGTTTCATCATGTTGGTCAGGCTGGTCTCAAACTCCTGACCTCAAGTGATCCACCTGCCTCGGCCTCCCAAAGTGTTGGGATTACAGGCACTAGCCACCATGCCCAGTCTATCACACACATTTTAAAGCCTGCACAAAATGTTGAAGTTTTAAAAGGAAATTATTAAATATTAAATTATTAATCTGATTTAAATTATTCCACAGGGGCACCAGTATTTTTCTGCTTCACTCCTGTGGGTTATCTCACTACCTTTCTGTGGAGACCACTGTTCTAGATGATGAATTCCTGGAAAGTAAGACCTCAGCCTTTCCATCTTTGCTGTCCCCCAGCCCCAGCACAGTGTCCCAACAGTGCTTGTGGAATAAAAATTATGATTGTATAAATTGAATTCATGATTCCTACATGGCATGAGTATAATCTGAGAAGACTTCTTGGAGGAGGTGGGCTGTGAGTGGGGTTCTGAGGAGGGGAAGGAGACAGAGAGAGATAGTGAGCACAGGAAGGCCTCTGCTGCAGGCAGACTCCTGATTCCTGACCCTGTCCACCATGAGGGAGGCGCTCTCCTTGAAGATGAGAAAGTCATTTTCCGACACACTCTGCGAACAGTCCAGGAGCAGGTAGAGGTTCAGATGACCAGAGCGCTGGATTTGGATTTTACGGCCCAGGCTTTCTGGAGAAATGTGGAAGGGGAGGATTCAGATCCCCACCTCCTTCCTGCGCTCTCGCCAAGCAGGTCCAGCTTCTCTGCCTCCCTCCCTTTCAGTGGCTGAGCCCACCAAGGCTCCTGGCCTCCAGGAAGGTTGCATCCTCCCTTGCTCCGGCCCAGATCCAGCACCCTGCTCAACCAGAAACCCCACCTCAAACACTCACCCTTTGTCTTCTGGGTGGGATTGGTGGCCCCAAGCATGTGGGAGAAGGAAGTGCCCAGGGCAGGGGCCACGTCCTCAGGGAAGTCATAAGAGTAGGGTTCTGTGGGGAGAGCCACACAGGAGTCAGCCGGGGCAGTGGCCGGGTGTGCCGAGGAATCTCAGGAGGGCAGGGCAGCTACTCACGGCGGCAGATGGGCTCCGTTCCACTCCAGACCCCGTTGCCCTGGCACTCCCGCTCCGAAGACCCCGTGAGCACAAGATTCGAGGAGCAGCGATAGCGGACCTTGTCCCCATGACCAAAGCGGAAGCCTGTCCGCACTGCGCCCAGTGAAATGCCTGGGTTGGGGCAGTGGCCAGCTGCGAGTGAACAAAGGAAGGCAGAGGTGAGTAGCCCCCTCCCATCAGGCTCTGCCTCCTCAGCGGCCTCAGTTGCCAGCAGAAGCTTCCCAGTTCCAACCCAGGGATGCACCCATGTCTGTCCCAGAGCCCCCAGAGACCCAGGGAAGAAGTCAGCTGATGGTCCCTCCACTCCTTCAGAGAACATTTATATTTCATAAACCACAGTGAGGCATCCCTACACACCCATCAAAACGGCTAACACTGAAACAACAGGTAATTCCAAGTGTTGGAGAGGATGCAGAGCGACTGGCACTCTGTTACCTTGCTGGCATGTACGTGGGTGAAACTTTCTCAGCCTCTACTACAACTAAACATATGCCAGCCTGTGATGTGACAATTCCACATTTAGATCATTTACTCAAGAGAAGCAAGTGCATACATGTACCAAAATCACATGCAAGAATGTTCCTAGAGCTCCCTCTCCCTCACCCTCTCCCCATGGTCTCCCTCTCCCTCTCTTTCCACGGTCTCCCTCTGATGCCGAGCCGAAGCTGGACGGTACTGCTGCCATCTCGGCTCACTGCAACCTCCCTGCCTGATTCTCCTGCCTCAGCTTGCCGAGTGCCTGCGATTGCAGGCGCGCGCCGCCACGCCTGACTGGTTTTCGTATTTTGTTAGTGGAGACGGGGTTTCGCTGTGTTGGCCGGGCTGGTCTCCAGCTCCTAACCGCGAGTGATCCACCAGCCTCGGCCTCCCGAGGTGCTGGGATTGCAGACGGAGTCTCGTTCACTCAGTGCTCAATGATGCCCAGGCTGGAGTGCAGTGGCGTGATCTCGGCTCGCTACAACCTCCACCTCCCAGCAGCCTGCCTTGGCCTCCCAAAGTGCCGAGATTGCAGCCTCTGCCCGGCCGCCACCCCGTCTGGGAAGTGAGGAGTGTCTCCGCCTGGCCACCCATCGTCTGGGATGTGAGGAGCGTCTCTGCCCTGCCGCCCATCGTCTGAGATGTGGGGAGCACCTCTGCCCGGCCGCCCCGTCCGGGATGTGAGGAGCGTCGCTGCCCGGCCGCCCCGTCTGAGAAGTGAGGAGACCCTCTGCCTGGCAACCGCTCCATCTGAGAAGTGAGGAGCCCCTCCGCCCGGCAGCCGCCCTGTCTGAGAAGTGAGGAGCCCCTCCGCCCAGCAGCCACCTGGTCCGGGAGGGAGGTGGGGGGGTCAGCCCCCCGCCCGGCCAGCCGCCCCGTCCGGGAGGGAGGTGGGGGGGTCAGCCCCCAGCCCGGCCAGCCGCCCCGTCCGGGAAGTGAGGGGCGCCTCTGCCCGGCCGCCCCTACTGGGAAGTGAGGAGCCACTTTGCCCGGCCAGCCACTCTGTCCGGGAGGGAGGTGGGGGGGTCAGCCCCCCGCCCGGCCAGCCGCCCCGTCCGGGAGGGAGGTGGGGGGATCAGCCCCCCGCCCAGCCAGCCGCCCCGTCCGGGAGGGAGGTGGGGGGGTCAGCCCCCCGCCCGGCCAGCCGCCCTGTCCGGGAGGTGAGGGGCGCCTCTGCCCGGCCGCGCCTACTGGAAAGTGAGGAGCCCCTCTGCCCGGCCACCACCCCGTCTGGGAGGTGTGCCCAACAGCTCATTGAGAAGGGGCCATGATGACAATGGCGGTTTTGTGGAATAGAAAGGGGGGAAAGGTGGGGAAAAGATTGAGAAATCGGATGGTTGCCGTGTCTGTGTAGAAAGAGGTAGACCTGGGAGACTTTTCATTTTGTTCTGTACTAAGAAAAATTCTTCTGCCTTGGGATCCTGTTGATCGGTGACCTTACCCCCAACCCTGTGCTCTCTGAAACATGTGCTGTATCCACTCAGGGTTGAATGGATTAAGGGCGGTGCAAGATGTGCTTTGTTAAACAGATGCTTGAAGGCAGCATGCTCCTTAAGAGTCATCACCACTCCCTAATCTCAAGTACCCAGGGACACAAACACTGCGGAAGGCCGCAGGGTCCTCTGCCTAGGAAAACCAGAGACCTTTGTTCACTTGTTTATCTGCTGACCTTCCCTCCACTATTGTCCTGTGACCCTGCCAAATCCCCCTCTGTGAGAAACACCCAAGAATGATCAATAAAAAAAAAAAAAAAAAAAAGAATGTTCCTAGAGCTTTACTCCTAATGGCCCCAAACTGGAAATAATCCAAATGTCCATCAGGAGGGGAATGGATAAATTGTAATATACCCATATAATGGAATACTACACAGCAATAAAAAAGAACAAAGTACTGATACACACAACAGCATGGATAAATCTCACAGGCAGAATATAGAACAAAGGATGCCAGAAGCAACAGACCACATCCCGCATGATTCCATTTACAGGAAATGTAAGCACAAGGTACCTAGTCCATGGAGACAGAGGTCAGAAGAGCAGTTACCTTGTGGGAGGGGACAAGAGGGAACCTCATTCTGTCTTGGGTGGTGATTAGATGAGTGGATGCATTGTAACAAATCATTGAGCTGAATAGTTAAGATTTGTACATTTTACAATAGGTAAATTATGCCTCAATTTTAAAATAAGTTAGAGTCACGTCTAATAATTCAAGCATTACTTATCACAGTCTTACCAGGCATCTACTTCACCCTCCTACAGAATAAATGGCCATTTGCCAAAACCCAAGGGCATGAGTGGGGATCCATGGTCTGGGCCACTAGGTGAAGGTGGTCCTGCCATCTTGTGGACTCCGTGTCTTCTGTATGATGTGCTAAGAACCATGATCCAAGAAGCTCCCAAACCCACAGGCAAATGCAGCTCCAGGGAATCCTAGGAGCCCTACTTCTGCCAAGCAGAGCCCCTCACCATTCACAGGGGCAGCAATAACTATGACAAAAGTGCTTATGGCCAGGCGTGGTGGCACATGCCTGCATTCCCAGCTACTGAGGAGGCTGAGGTAGGAAGATCACTTGAGCTCAGGAGTTTGAAGCCAGCCTTGGCAACACAGCGAGATCCTGTCTCTTAAAGAAACAAAAACAAGGCCGGATGCCGTGGCTCACGCCTGTAATCCCAGCACTTTGGGAGGCCAAGGTGGGCAGAATCCCCTGAGGTCAGGAGTTTGAGACCAGCCTGGCCAACATGGAGAAACCCTGTCCCTACTAAGAATAGAAAATTACCGAGGCATGGTGGCGCATGCCTGTAATCCCAGCTTCTTGGGAGGCTGAGGCAGGAGAGTCACTTGAACCCGGGAGGCAGATGTTGCGGTGAGCTGAGATTGCGCCATTGCACTCCAGCCTGGGCAACAAGAGCTAGACTCCGTCTCAAAAAAAAAAAAAAGTGTACATGGCATTTATCAGATTCCAGGGGCTGTTTTTTTTGTTTTTTGTTTGTTTGTTTGTTTGTTTTGAGACAGAGTCTCACTCTGTCACCCAGGCTGGAGTGCAGTGGCACGATCTCGGCTCACTGCAACCTCTGCCTCCCAGGTTCAAGTGATTCTCCTGCCTCAGCCTCCTGAGTAGCTGGGATTAACCACGCCCAGCTAATTTTTGTATTTTTAGTATAGACGAGGTTTCACCACGTTGACCAGGCTGGTCTCAATCTCCTGACCTCAGGTGATCCACCCACCTCAGCCTCCCAAAGTGCTGGGATTATAGGCGTGAGGCACCGAGGCTGGCATTTTTTTTTTTTTTTTTTTTTTTGAGACAGAGTCTTACTCTGTCACTCAGGCTGGAGTGCAATGATGCAATCTCGGCTCACTGCAATCTCCACTTCCTGGTTCAAATGATTCTCCTGCCTCAGCCTCCTGAATAGCTGGTATTACAGGCATGCGCCACCGCACCCGGCTAATTTTTGTATTTTTACTAGAGACGGGGTTTCACCATGTTGGCCAAGCTGGTCTCAAACTCCTGACCTTGTGATCCACCCCCCTTGGCCTCCCAAAGTGCTGGGATTACAGGCGTGAGCCACCGCACTCCAGGGCTGTTGTATATGCTTACTAATGTCAACTCATTTAATCCAGATGGCAATCTCAGGTCAGCACTCACTATCCTTGTCTTACAGATGGGAAAACTGAGGGCTAGAAAGGTTAAATAGCCTTCCCAAAGTCTGTCAAAGTCAGAGTAGGGCTTGGAACCCAAACCTGGCTTTAAAGGCAAGGCATTAAAGCACAGTACTTGACTCTCTCCCAGCATATCTTCCCTACAACAATCTGTGGGGCCTGAATATGAAGTCTTGCTTTGAGGCACTTAGAAAAGCCAGGCAGAGTGTGTGGAGGCTTTATGCTACATCTGAAGCTTAGCACCAGCTGCCTGGGGCCTGGCCCTTGCAGACTTGTGATGTGTGACCTGTAGACCTCAATTTACCAAAATCCAGGAATATTATTATGGCACACTGAACAACAGACTCCTATCCCCACAGAGGCTTCCTGGATGCACATTGGGCCCCAGGGTTCCCCAGGAGACCCCAGCCCCCTGTGTAGCCCATCAGCCAGAGAACTCACCCCCATTATCACACACAGCTGTTTCTCCATCCCACATGCCGTTGGGGCGACACTGACGCACAGGCGAGCCCCGCAATATGAAGCCATCCTCACACTCGAAGCTCACATTGCCACCCACGGGATAGGACCCCAGCCGTGGGGTATAAATGCCATTCTCAAAGGAGACAGGGGCTGGACAGCGCACAGCTGGAGAGAGAGGAAGTGGGTGGGGAATATAGGACTGGATGGATAACACCTGGGCTGGGGATTAAGCAGGTGATTTTATGCTGGAATGCATGGGAATGGTCAACTGGCTGTCAAAACACTGAAATATTAGGTTGCAACATGTGAAATTGCTGTTTTTGGCAACTGATTGAATATTGCCAATTTCACAGAGTCTAAGCGAACTGATTGATAAATAGCCACTTCCCTCAGTCTCCTGAGGGCCGTGGCCTCCCCAGACACTCCCCTTGGGATCCTCAGATGTCTAGAGGACTCCAGGACCATTCAGCATCTGTTCTGAATGGTCACTACTAGGCAGTCAATTGTACATAAAAAGTCATCCCTGGCTTTAGTACCCCACAGTCTCCATCAAGACCTGTTCCCAATTCCTTGCTACTGGCAATTGACATTTTCTGGATATTTTGAAAAGCCCTCTGCAAAAGCAACTTTGCCATCTAGTCAGGTTAAGTCCCACCCTGAGCAACTCCTAAACAAAAGTTCTGGGGTGGCCCCTGGTGTAGCACCCTGAGCAAAGCCCACAGGGAGCCTCACGTTTGCAGACCGCCTTAGACAGAGACCGGGTGGCTCCTGGGGTCTGCCACTGTCCGCTGCTCTTGCACAGCCGTGATGCTGGGGATGGGTACAGGCCCTGGGGGCAGGAGTAGGTGAGAAGGCTCCCAGGAGCCCAGCCATGGCTGAGGGTGAAGGTGCCACCCGAGATATTCACGTTCTGAGGGCAGGAGGGAGCCGAGTCTGCCAGACCTAGAGCCGTGGGAACAAGGAGACAGCAATGGAGAAAGAAGGAAGACACAGATGAGAAAAGGAAAGCAAAAGAGACTGTTTCACACATGGGAATTCAAGCTGGGAGCACCAACCTCACACACAGGACCCTGACGTTCCCCCTTCCCTGCCTCCTACCTGGGTACAGGAACAGCAGGCAAAAAAGAACCATCAGTGGGCCCATGGTGTCCTCCCTAGGGGCGGCGAGAGGTAGAGAGCCGCGGGAGGGAAAAGGTCATCTGACTTCCCGAAAACTAGAGCTGGGTCAGCAGCTGCTTCATTGCTGCCAGAGAAGAAAAACCAGGGAGTGGCAAGGGGGATGGTCTTCTGTTAGGGAAATAATAAGCAGGGATTGGGGACTGAACTGAAGGGTGAAACCTTTGCCCTGTCTCCCTGATGCTAATATATCTATAGGGTCAATAGATCTCCCCCACAGGCTTTGTGTACTGCCCCCACGCTCCACCCACCCATGCGTGCACATGTGCACCATACACGCATGCTCACAAACACGCAGGCAAACACATATTTGGGCTCGTGTGTGCACACATGCACCTTGCTCTTGTGTGAATAGTCAATAGTCTAAAGCACACAAACCCACAAACCATCCAAGATATTGCAAAATATTTCATTTAAGTAAAGTTTTAGTGTTCTTTTGGGTTGTACCAAGTGGGTTTTACTTCCTGAGAGCCTAGAACAGTTCTGTCTTCTTGAAGATAAACTTCCGAGGGGGGTGAAACTAATTTTTTTAGAACTTCTTGATAAATAGGAAGATTGACAATACTTTTTTATTCCCTACAATCCTTCCCTAGAGATAATCTAGGTGGAAAAAATGAAATCAACACTTAGTTTTGGAGACAGGAAAAATGTTTACAACATTTTTACGGAAAGTCTAGTAGATGAAATTCCCAACTGGCAAAGTAAATACATTTGGGGTTGGTTACTCAAAGGAATAAAACTTTTGCGGGGGCTGGGATATGCCTTTAAATCATAACCTACACTTGTATGAAATGCAGGAAGCAAAGAAACTTGAAGCTAGTGTGTTAGTCTCCCTGACCCACAGAAGTCTTTTCAATACCTTTTTGAACAATGTAGGGTAAAAATAAATAAGACCAATAAAAAAATGAACATGAAACCTCTCTGAAGTGATCATTTAGGTTCGTAAAAACCCTTTTGATTTATAAGTGAGTCCTTAGAGAACTGATTGAACCTAGAAGATGGAGGTTGCAGTGAGCCAAGATTGTGCCACTGCACTCCAGCCTGGGCAACAGAGTAAGACTACATCTCAAAAAGAAAAAAAAAAAATAAGACCGGGCACAGTGACTCACGCCTGTAATCCCAGCATTTTGGGAGGCTGAGGCAGGTGGATCATGAGGTCAGGAATTTGAGACCAGCCCGGCCAACATGGTGAAACCCCGTCTCTACTAAAATTACAAAAAATTAGCCGGGTGTGGTGGCAGGGGCCTGTAATCCCAGCTACTCGGGAGGCTGAGGCAGGAGAATCACTTGAACCCGGGAGGCAGAGGTTGCAGTGAGCCAAGATCATGCCACTGCATTCCAGCCTGGGTGACAAGAGCAAGACTCTGTCTCAAAAAAAAAAAAAAGAGTACACAAATTGAGACTCCCCTTGGACAGGGCTAAGTGCATGAAAATCAGGACATCCTGGTGTTAGGGACTCCAAAGTGGCTGCTGTGGCAGAGCTGCTAGTGCCTCCCCTGCCCCTCAAGTATCTTTTCTCCCTCCTTCCACAGTAAGAGATGGTTAGGGGAACACACAGTCACCCAGCTAAAGACCATATTTCCTAGCTTCCCTTGCAGCTAGGTAGCCAGGTGACTTGGTTCTGGCTAATGGGATGTTAGTAGAACTTATGTATGTCATTTCCAAGTTATGTCCCTAAAATAAAAAGGCAGTGTGCCTTTTCTTTTCATGGGCTGGAATATAAACCTAGCGGAGATCCGTCTTCCACCAGGAGGATGAGGGCAACATGCTGGGGATGACAGAGCAAACAGACAGAGGAGCCTGGGTGTCTGACACAGTGTTGATGTCATACCAGCCCTGCACAGCCACTTAGATTGTTACAAGAGAGAAATAAACTATCGTAAAGGTGGGGGGTATTTAAGGATGTTCACAAATACTGTAGCCTTGTCTTCTTTCAATCACATGGTAGGATAGGATTTCCCCAGCCACTTGTTTTAGCCAATAAGATGTGAGTACAAGTGATATGTATCACTTCCTGATGGAAGCTCAATGTAGTCTTCACCCTGCTCTTCCCCTCTGTATGGTAACGTCTGAGATGGTGGCTGCTCCACCAGCCAAGATCCCTGGGTGATATCGAAAGCACAGTACCAGCCGGGCACAGTGGCTCACACCTGTAATCCCAGCACTTTGGGAGGCCGAGGCAGGGGGATCACCTGAGTTCAGGAGTTAGAGACCAGCCTGACCAACATGGTGAAACCCCATCTCTACTAAAAATACAAAAATTAGCTGGGCGTGGTGGCATACGCCTGTAATCCCAGCTGCTCAGGAGGTTGAGGTAGGAGAATCGCTTGAACCCGGGAGGCAGAGATTGCAGTGAGCCGAGATCACACCACTGCACTTCAGCCTGGGTGACATAGGGAGACTCTGTCTCAAAAAAGAAAAAAAAAGCGCAATACTCGGCTGACTCTCAGTGGATAAGTAATATGACCAAAAAATAAACCTTTGTTATTTTAATTCATTGCATTTCTACTAATGCAGGAAAAAAAGTACCCACCCAATATGTAGGAAATTTAAAAATGATTTATTCTTTCTCATATTGGCCAGAAGGTTCTTCTGCTGATCTTCCATGCAGCGGCAGTCAGCTAGGGGCTGAGTTCAGTTAACAGTAGGACAGCAGGTCCTTCCTCCCTAGCCCTCATAGCATGGCAGTCTCAGGACAACTTCTGAGGAATCCAAAACATAAGCTGCAAGGTCTCTCGAGGCCTAGCCCCAAAAGTCACATAACATCACTTCTGCCACATTCTATTGGTCAAAGCAAATCACAAGGTCAGCCCAGATTTAAGACTGGAGGCATAGAATTTACCTCTTGATAGGAGGAATGGCAAAGTCACACGGCAAAGGGGCAGGCACATCAGAATAGGAGAGATTGATGGCTATATTTTGTAAGCCCTCCTATGGCAACAAATATTTCTAGGTTGTTGGTTACCAGAACGTAATGAAGCCTAACCTGACTGAACATTCAAATCACTAAACTTTGGGTGCCTTTTAAAGCCATCAAACTAATATGTAACAGCTGCCTTCAAAAGAAAGGGCCTTTCTTTCATGAGTTTTTCCCAGTATTTGTTGAGCTACATCAACTTGGCACAGTGTGGCAGAATTCATTCTCTCTTCCTGCTTAAGTAATAAAACTCCCAAGTTTTCTGGGCCCACAGAGTATGTTCTTAAGGAGAAGTGTTTACTCCTCAATGTATAAAACTTCTTCCCTTCCCACCAGCTGGAATGTGGACAGAATGGTGGACTCTGGAACAGCCACCTAGATCACAAAATGGAAGTCACATGTGGATGATGATAAAGAAACAAAATTAAAGAGGCCCTGCTCTCCAATCCTGTAGAGCTAATAGGATTGACCTGGACCACTTATGCTCAGACCATTTAAGCTGCTGTTATTCTAGCTTGGTTATAACAAAGCCAAACCATGTCTAACTGATATACCTAGCAAGAAATCAATGTGAGAGCCAAAGGCAACACTCAGAGAAGTGTGTTTATTAGGATA
The DNA here is from genome assembly GCF_000001405.40 of Homo sapiens. Taxonomy (NCBI): domain Eukaryota; kingdom Metazoa; phylum Chordata; class Mammalia; order Primates; family Hominidae; genus Homo; species Homo sapiens. The sequence goes on along the minus strand of NT_167246.2, from coordinate 3,229,403 downwards.
CACGTTAAACTTCTGTAATAAAGAGACCCTAAAATACAGTAACTTAAATAAGATAGAATTTTGCTGCACTTTCAAATAAGAGCCTCAGAGGCCGGGCGCGGTGGTTCACGCCTGTAATCCCAGCACTTTGGGAGGCCGAGGCGGGTGGATCACAAGGTCAGGAGATCGAGACAATCCTGGCTAACACGGTGAAACCCCGTCTCTACTAAAAAATACAAATAATTAGCCGGGCGCGGTGGCAGGCGCCTGTAGTCCCAGCTACTCGGGAGGCTGAGGCAGGAGAATGGCAGGAACCCGGGAGGCGGAGTTTGCAGTGAGCTGAGATCGCGCTACTGCACTCCAGCCTGGGAGACAGAGCGAGACTCCATCTCAAAAAAAATAAATAAATAAGAGCCTCAGAGGCCGGGTGCGGTGGCTTACGCCTGTAATCCCAGCACTTTGGGAGGCCGAGGCGGGCGGATCACGAGGTCAGGAGATCCAGACCATCCTGGCTAACATGGTGAAACCCTGTCTCTACTAAAACTACAAAAAAAAAAAAATTAGCTGGGTGTGGTGGCGGCGCCTGTAGTCCCAGCTACTCGGGAGGCTGAGGCAGGCGAATGGCGTGAACCCGGGAGATGGAGCTTGCAGTGAGCGGAGATCGTGCCACTGCACTCCAGCCTGGGTGACAGAGCAAGACTCCATCTCAACAAAAAAAAAATAAAAACAAAATAAGAGGCTCAGGGTAAGCAGACAAGGCTGAGATGGCGTGTGTGGCCCTGGCTGGCAGAGCTGCTCATCAGCCTCCTTCAGGCCTCCAGCTTCCTTCCATCTGTGGTTCATGCCTTTGGAAATTGTCCTTGTCTGCATGGTTGAAACAGGGTCTCCATCAAGTCTGCCTCCCACCCCACTCTTCCATTCATATTCCATTGGCAAAAAGTCAGTTATAGTCCACTGTCAGCTCTCCAGGAGGCCCAGTCGAATGTGGAAGGACCATGACCTGACCTGTGGGGCTAAAGATGCCAGACCTTTATTCCCCTCGGCACTCCCGATTAGCTTTTCAGTAGACCCCACCAGATGAGGGCGACCTTGGCTTCTCTATTTCTTGTACCATTCAAAAGCCCAGCAAATGTAACCGTGTTTTCACTCCAGGTAGAGGGAAGCAGGTGAATAATATCTAAAAAACAGACATGCCTCTCCTGCCAGCTTCTTCCATCTTGTCCAAATTTCTTCTTATCAATTCTAGGCTTCTAATATCTGCTTCCAAGGGTACAATTCCAAAGAGAAAAAACCAATACCCCAATTCTGTACTTCATCTCCTAGTCAGAGTTGGATTTTTGCTTTTGGTTTTTTTGGTTTTTTGTTTTTGAGACAAAGTCTTGCTTTGTTGCCCAGGCTGGAGTGAAGCAGTACGATCTCGGCTCACTGCAACCTCCACCTCCTGGGTTCAAGGGATTCTCCTGCCTCAGACTCCCAAGTAGCTGGGATTACAGGCATGTGCTACCATGCCCAGCTAATTTTTGTATTTTTAGTAGAGATGGGGTTTCACCATGCTGGTCAGGCTGGTCTCAAACTCCTGACCTCAGGTGATCCACCTGCCTCTGCCTCCCAAAGTGCTGGGATTACAGGTGTGAGCCACTGTGCCAGGCCCCCTAATCAGAGTTTAAAAATCAGAAATGATGCTCTGATGGCCTCTCAGGATGCCTTATTCTCCCCTGGAGAGCTCAGCACCTTGCAGCTGAAAATTTCTGAGGAAACGTGGCATATAGCAGAGGCCGACCCCACTCTAGTGGCCAGTCTACTCCTTATCCAGTCTGGCCACTTGGGCCTGGACTTCGCGGTCATCCTAGGATCTGCCACCCCTCAACCTTCTATGGCAACTGCAGGTCAACCCCCAAATTGGAAAACTAGTCTGGCTTGGCCTGGTTCACAGCCTTAATGTGTGACTTTAGATGGGGATTCAGCATTGCTCTGCAAGCCTCTTGGTGGTTTTAGTGGATCTGTCCTTGCCCCACCATATCCCTTGGGCCTTATCACTGGGGTGCTCCACTGACTTCCAGCTGCAGCATCTCTGTCTCTACCCAAGGATTGTTTTTGGTGTCCTGCACCATCTGTGCACAGAAAGCTGGAAATGACAGAGAATTAAGGCCTTCAACCAATGACTGATTGGTATAAATACTGGGCTCCCTCACCCTGGACCATGGGATAACTCTGCACCACTCCAGGGTTCCTGAGTGGGATTGACCTCCACTCACCCACAATGGTAAATTTGCCTGATAACACACCCTTCATTGACTGCCTTCCTTCTCTATCACACTCCACTACCCATGTTTCTTGCGATCACCTCCAGAATGCACTGTCTGCACTGGAACCCTTGTCTCCAGGTCTGCTTCTGGGGGAGGAAGACTTCATATTAGCAGGACATAGTGCCAGACAGTATTTTTAAGTCTTAAATGTAGGTGCTCACTTAATCCTCACAGCAAGCTTATGACACAGGTTCTGTTGTTACTCCCACTTTACAGATGAGGGAACTGAGGCACACAAAGGTTAAGTGAGCTGCCCCAGGTTCATACAGGTACTAAGCAGCAGAGCCGGGATTCAAACCCAGGCAGCATGGCTCCTGGGTCCACACTCATAGCCACCAAGTGGTAGTGCCTCTTCCTCACGTCTTCTCTTTAGTGACTGCTGGGAGCTCCTTGCGCATCCCTGAAGTCTACCCCAGCCCCTTGCATTTCCAAGCCCTCTCTCCCCTAGGCTCTTTCCTCTTGGCACCCCCTCTCCCATAACACCTTCTTTTCCATCCTTCTCAAATCCCTCATCTTCCAGACTCCTACAAGACCTGTCCACGCCATTTCCCACCTTCTAGCTACTTGTGCACTTGTCTCAAGCTCCCCAGAGGAAGGATCCAGGAGTTTTTTTTTTAAACAATGAGCTATCCAAGTAAGGTCAAGCCAATGCCCTCCCCCATCCTATTTCCACCCCAAGTAAATAGCATCTTTCAGGTCAGCAACAGAATTGGCTTTGGTTTCTCATCCATTTCTTTTTTAATAAAAATATTTACATTGGGTCAGACCCCACCCATTTCCACACAAAGGCCTCTGCTAAGTTCCTCGGTACCCACACCATCCCCCATCCTAGCAGGCACTGCCTACTAACTTTGAAGTGATTGCCCAACTATGATCTTGAGGAATCTCCACATACATCACCCTTAGAGCCTCAGAAAGGGTTTTGCCCTGCCCCATGGGGCTCCTCCCCATGCCCAGGCTCTTCCAGGGCCCTGGGCCTCAGAGGCCACCCTGCAGGCCCAGACACTGGGTTAGACACTGAACCTCCTGTCCTTGTCCATCCATTGCACAAACAATTCCTGAGAATGGAACGAGGAACTAAGGGGTGGGGTAGGGCCTCCCAAGAAACAGAAGGCCTGTCCCTGACCTCCTGTAGGCGCCATATCTCTTTCAGACAAAAACTCAACCTCTAAAGACTCACAGGCCTGGGGTGTACCAGGGTGTCCATCTGCCCACACCGCAGCTCTTACCTCAGCCCTCTGAGGTCTCCACTGTCCTTGGGCTGGTGGGGGGCATGGTGCATGTTATCACCCACTTCTTGCTACCCATCAGGGAAGCTGCCCTGGGTAACCCAGGTAAGAGGGTGGTAAACACAACTCAGGTGCTCAGGGGTCAGCTGAGGATGGGCCAGGGGGAGGGGTGGCCTATGGCTGAATTGCCCTGGCTCCGGTCCTCACCACCCCAACCCCAGCTCTGGGCTTAGCATTGGTGGCAGTGGGGGCCTCACTAGCCTCCTCTGCCCTTTCATTGAAAATTCCTCTCTAATGTTTTCCTTTATCCTGGGGAGTGGGGAGATATTCATCCCCTTCCCAGTTCTGGGTACCAGTACCCTCTTGACAAAAGGATAGCCTGGGGCTCACATGGGAGAATCCTCCTGCCCTCACTCCTCCAGTGCTGCCAAGGGGTGAAGAGGGAACTTGCCCAGTAGAAAGACATACGTTCATGCCTTGCTTTCCTGCCCAACACAAATGAAAGGTTATACCTGAGAAGAGCTCCTCCTGCCCCGTCTCTGGCCCCAGCCCCAGTGTGGTATGAGGAATTCAGGCTTTGACTTAAGACAGCCTGGAACCTCAGGTTTGGCTTGGCAAATTCATTAGCTATTTCGTAGCCTTACTCACCCTGTTTTGTCACCTGTCATCCACAGAACCAACAGCAAAATACACTCCCCTTAAGGTTACCTTTGAGAATTAGGACCATCAAAAGGAGAAGATCGGCTACCCTACAGGTATAAAAGGTACCAGGATATTTGCTTTAGCATTCACTGTTACCAAGAGGAAATGTTTGGAAACTCCCACGTCCATTAATAGGGGACAGACACAGCACATTGTGGTATGGGGACAACTGAATACTACGCAGTCTCTGCAAGCTTAAGGCTTATCTGTGTGTACAGAGCTGAATGTCTCCAGATATATATGTTATATAATATACACTTTTAAACTAGATAGACATTCAGAACTGTATGTATGGGATGCCACCATTTATGCAAAAAAAGGAGGGAAAGAGGATAGTAGCCACATATGCTCTCTGTGTGTATATAATTTCACTGGAAAAGTTTACAAAAAACTGGATAGGAGAGTTGCCTCTGGGGAGAACTGGGGGCTGGAAAATGAGGTGGGAGGTAAAGAAGGCAACTTAATTTTCACCAAATCCCCTTTATTACTCCTTGTAGTTTTCACTGGGTACATATGATACCTATTCAAGGCCAGGCCCAGTGGCTCACGCCTGTAATCCCAGCACTTTGGGTGGCCAAGGCAGGTGGATCACCTGAGGTCAGGAGTTTGAGACCAGCCTGACCAACATGGTGAAATCCCGTCTCTACTAAAAATACAAAAATTAGCCGGGTGTCTTGGCAGGCACTTGTCATCCCACCTACTCAGGAGGCTGAGGCAGGAGAATTGCTTGAACCTGGGAGGCAGAGGTTGCTGTGAGCTGAGATTGCACCACTGCACTCCAACCTGGGCAACAAGAACAAAACTCCGTCTCCAGAAAAAAAAAAAAAAGAAAAGAAAAGAAAAGAAAAGAAATACCCTACTGGACTATTAACAAGAGACCCTGATACAATCTCTCTGCAGATTAAGTTTTATTTTGTAAAATTTCAAACATATTGTAAAGTAGAGAGAATAGTAAAATGAACTTTCATGTATGTATCCATCATCTAGCTTCAGTTCATAGACGGTCTCGGTTCATAGACGGTCTGGGTTCATGTCTATATACCACCCACCAACCATTCCTTCCAGGAATTTTTTTTTTTTTTTTTTTTTTGAGACAGAGTCTTGCTCTGTCACCCAGGCTGGAGTGCAGTGATGCAATCTCGGCCCACTGCAACCTCTGCCTCCCAGGTTCAAGCCTCCTGAGTAGCTGGGATTACAGGTGCCCGCCACTACACCCAGCTAATTTTTTTGTATTTTTAGTAGAGATGGGGTTTCACCAACTTGGCCAGGCTGGTCTTGAACTCCTGACCTCGTGATCCGCCCACCTCAGCCTCCCAAAGTGCTGGAATTACAGGCGTGAGCCACCGCTCCCAGCCAGGATTTTTTTTTTTTTTTAAGTTAAAGACAGGGTCTCACTGTCACCCAGGCTGGAGTTTAGTGGTGCAATCACAGCTCACTGTAACCACAAACTCCTGGGCTCACATGATCCTCCCACCTCAGCCTTCCAAGAAGCTGGGACAAGAAGCATGCATCACCATGCCCAGCTAATTTATTCATTTATTTACTTTTGTAAAGACAGGGGTCTCAGTATGTTGCCCGGACTGGCCTCAAACTCCTAGCTTCAAGTGATCCTCCTGCCTCAGTCTCCCAAAGTGTTAGGATTACAAGTGTGAGCCACTGTGCCTGGCCTCGAGGAATATTTTTTTTTTGAGATGGGGTCTTGCTTTGTTGCCCAGGCTGGAGTGCAGAGACCTGATCATAGCTCACGGCAGCCTCAAACTCCTGGGCTTCCACAATCCTCCCACCTCAGCCTCCTGAGTAGCTGAGATTACAGGCATATGCCATCATACCAGGCTAAGTTTTTTTTAATTGTTTACTTTAATTAGAGATGAGGTCTTGCTATGTTTTCCAGGCTGGTCTTGAACTAGCCTCAAGCAATCCTCCAACCTAGGCCTCCCAAAGTGCTGGGAATTCATTAAAAATTTTTTTACGGAAAAGCTCAAATTTTTCATTTTAAAATATTTCTCTTTTTTCTTTTTTCAGAACATTTCTCACTTACATAAGAGCACATTTTCTTTCTCTTTTTTTCAGATAGAGTCTCTTTGTGTCACCCAGGCTGGAGTGCAATGGCGTGATCTCGGCTCACTGCAACCTCCGCCTCCCGGGTTCAAGCAATTCTCCTGCCTCAGCCTCCCAAGTAGCTGGGATTACAAACGGCTGACACCACGCCCAGCTAATTTTTGCATTTTTAGTAGAGACGGGGTTTCACCATGTTGGCCAGGCTGGTCTCCAACTCCTGGCCTCAGGTGATCCGCCTACCTCAGCCTCCCAAAGTGCTGGGATTACAGGCATGAGCCACCGCGCCTGGCCTTTTTTTCTTTTTTTAAAATTCCAACTTTTATTTTAGATACAGGGGGTACAGGTGCAGGTTTGTTACATGGGTATATTGCACTAGGTAGTCATAGAACCAATTAGGTAATTTTTTAACCCACACTCCCTCCCTCTCTCCCCTTCTAGTAGTCTTCAGTGTCTATTGTTCCTATATTTATGTCCATATGTGCTCAATATTTAGTTCCGTTATAAGTGAGAACATTAGGCATTTGGTTTTCTGTTCCTACGCTAATTCATTTAGGATTCTGTCCTCCAGCTCCATCCATGTTGCTGCAAAGGACATGATTTAATTTTTTTTTTTTATGGCTGCAAAACTATTTATCTTTCACTTCTTGGCTTTTACCAAAATAAAATGTTTCTTTTGAACTATAAATTTATAAAACATCTCATTGTTCTCTGTATCATAATTTTTTTCTTTTTTTTTTTTTTTCTGAGACAGAGTCTCACTCTGTCACCCAGGCTGGAGTGCAGTGGTGCCGTCTTGGCTCACTGCAACCTCCGCCTCCTGGGTTCAAGCGATTCTCCTGCCTCAGCCTCCCAAGTAGCTCGGATTACAGGTGCCCACCAGCACGCCGGCTAATTTTTGTATTTTTAGTAGAGACGAGGTTTCACCATGTTTGCCAGGCTGGTCTCAAATTCATGATCTCAGGTAATCCACCCGCCTCGGCCTCCCAAAGTGCTCAGATTACAGACATGAGCCACCACAGCCAGCCTTTTTTTTTTTTTTTTTTTTGTTGAGATGGAGTCTCGCCCTGTCACCCAGGCTGGAGTACAGTGGCGCTATCTCAGCTCACTACAACTCCAGCCTGGGCAAAAGGAGCAAAACTCTGTCTCAAAAAAAAAAAAAAAAAGGGCAGAGAACTAATGCCCAGAGTCAACCTGCAATTATTGCAGAGTGGGAAGCAGTAGACAGATGCTCCTGCCTCCTGTCCTTCAGGTGGAAAGCGTCTGGAGACATTCAGCTCTCTCCTCAGGAGGGCCTGGGGGAATCGAACTCCACTGCACACAACAGTGACATCACTCTTTTTTTTTTTTTTTTTTTTGAGACGGAGTCTCACTCTGTTGCCCAGGCTGGAGTGCAATGGTGCAATCTCTGCTCACCGCAACCTCCGCCTCCCAGGTTCAAGCAATTCTCCTGCCTCAGCCTCCCAAATAGCTGGGATGACAGGCACATGCCACCACGCCAGGCTAATTTTTGCAATTTTAGTAGAGACAGGGTTTCGTCGTGTTGGCC
>NT_167246.2:3145833-3168651 GCF_000001405.40 Homo sapiens | reverse complement strand
GGCCAACATGGTGAAACCTCCGTCTCTATTAAAAATACAAAAATTAGCCGAGAGTGGTGGCATGCACCTGTCATCCCAGCTACTCGGGAGGCTGAGGCAGGAGAATCGCTTGAACCCGGGAGGCAGAGGTTGCAGTGAGCCGAGATCGCGCCACTGCACTCCAACCTGGGTGACAGACTCTGTCTCCAAAACAAAACAAACAAACAAAAAGATTTTATTAAAGATATTTTGTTAACTCAGTAAATCTGTGACTCATTCTCTCCACGACGACAGGCGGCCTTTTTTTTTCCGCGCCCGGCTCTTTAAAATCGGCCCCGCCCCTGTGACGTGTCCTGGTGCCGCGGCCAATCAAAAAGCCCAATAAGGATGGTGCCAGTCCCTTCTTCACCCCAGCCAGTCCGCTTCCCGTTCGGGTCACGCGCTCCGGGCCTCCAAGAGGGCCTCCAAGAGGGCCAATCGGAAGGGCAAGCTTCGAGATGCTGCGTGATCACGTGGGAGGAGATGAGCTACTTGAAGACCAATTAGAGTCCGGGAAGCGCGGCGGGGCCTCCAGACCGGGGCGGGCTTAAGGGTGACATCTGCGCTTTAAAGGGTCCGGGTCAGCTGACTCCCGACTCTGTGGAGTCTAGCTGCCAGGGTCGCGGCAGCTGCGGGGAGAGATGACTGGGGAGCGACCCAGCACGGCGCTCCCGGACAGACGCTGGGGGCCGCGGATTCTGGGCTTCTGGGGAGGCTGTAGGGTTTGGGTGTTTGCCGCGATCTTCCTGCTGCTGTCTCTGGCAGCCTCCTGGTCCAAGGCTGAGAACGACTTCGGTCTGGTGAGTCACCCTTTGCATAGCCCCATCCCCGACCCGCGCAGGTGATCGACACCTAGTGTCCCCCGGAACGCGGGCGGCTGAGCCGACTTTCCGCGACAGGACCCTTTTCTTTCTCCCAGACCCCGTTTCCTCCTACCGCTCCCAGCCCCTCTCCCTCTCCGGGTCCCCGTCCTTCTCCTCATTCGAGCCCCTTCCTCTTTTGGGGTCCCCTTCCCTCCCTGAAGGCGCCTTCTCCTTTCGTAGACCCTCCCCTGCTCCGAGCCTCCAGCTTCGCTCCAAACTCCCCTTCGTGTTCCTCTTTCTTGTTCTGGGACCCCATCCCCTACTCGGGATCCCCATTAGATCCTCCCTCTCCCATCGGAACGTGGGTTCCTAAAACCCCCAAGACAAGTTTGTCTTTGTTGACCCTTCCTCCTCCCATGACAGGTGCAGCCGCTGGTGACCATGGAGCAACTGCTGTGGGTGAGCGGGAGACAGATCGGCTCAGTGGACACCTTCCGCATCCCGCTCATCACAGCCACTCCGCGGGGCACTCTTCTCGCCTTTGCTGAGGCGAGGAAAATGTCCTCATCCGATGAGGGGGCCAAGTTCATCGCCCTGCGGAGGTCCATGGACCAGGGTATAAAGATGTCTGGGTGAAAGAGCCGGTGCTAGGTTGGATGGGTGGGCAGCCCAATGAGCCCAAGGGCCCTGAGGATAGGGGAACTTAGAGGGTTGGTTGCCTGAGTCCCTGAGGGGTAGAGGGAACCCGAGAAGGGCAAGTGTCTAGGACAGTGATCTGGAAATTGGGATCACCAAGGAGTTGGACATTCACTTAGCAAACATTTATTGGGTACTATATACCTATACCAGGCACTATTTTAGGTTTCATGAATATAGCCACGAACAAAACAGATCAAAAATCTCTGCCCTCAGGATTTAAATTGTACTGGAAGGAGACAGACAAGCATAATAAACAAGTAAACTTTTTTGTCTGTTGCAAGGTGATAAATGCAATGGAGAAAAATAAAACAGGACAAGAGGTATAGATAGTGCAAGTGTTGGATTGCACCCTGGGACCATCGGAAGGCCTGAGGTCCCTAGCAGAAGGTGGGAAATTAACGGGAAGTGGTAGAAAGGGTACCTGCAGAGTGCTCACTCTGGGTTTCTTCCTCCAATTTTTTTCAGGCAGCACATGGTCTCCTACAGCGTTCATTGTCAATGATGGGGATGTCCCCGATGGGCTGAACCTTGGGGCAGTAGTGAGCGATGTTGAGACAGGAGTAGTATTTCTTTTCTACTCCCTTTGTGCTCACAAGGCCGGCTGCCAGGTGGCCTCTACCATGTTGGTATGGAGCAAGGATGATGGTGTTTCCTGGAGCACACCCCGGAATCTCTCCCTGGATATTGGCACTGAAGTGTTTGCCCCTGGACCGGGCTCTGGTATTCAGGTCTCTGTCCTAGGAGATAGGTGGAGGGGGCTGCCTTGTGGAGAGTCTGAGGGATACCCCCAAATGGACTCCTTTCCAAGGGGAAGATTCTCTGAAGTCAGATTTTCTGGCTTGGGTGGGATTCCTTGAAAGACAGGGCATCCTGGTAGGAACACATTATCAGGAGAAGAGGGAACTCTGCCATTGGCTTCCCATTTGGCATTGTCAACAGGACTGCGTTAGTCCATGCAATACCCTCATGCAAAGTAGAAAAAGGCACTGCCTCTTTGGACAGACACAAGCCTGTGCCAGGGTGCACAGCTTGGCGAGTGAGCACAGGTTGGGTTTAAGCTCTCATGCACCCTGTGGCTGGGCCCCTGGTGCACATGTCCAGCTGTACACCCTGGGAGAGCTTCTTAATTCAAACAGGGTGTGTATTTATGGGATCTGACTGGAACCCTCAGTGAGCAAGGGCTGAACTCAAGGGGACCATACATGTGATTGCATTTGGGAAGTGGTGGGTTCTCTGTCCCTGCCTCTGAGCCCCTAGAGTCTCCTTCTGTGACACCCAGTTCCCTTTCCCACAGAAACAGCGGGAGCCACGGAAGGGCCGCCTCATCGTGTGTGGCCATGGGACGCTGGAGCGGGACGGAGTCTTCTGTCTCCTCAGCGATGATCATGGTGCCTCCTGGCGCTACGGAAGTGGGGTCAGCGGCATCCCCTACGGTCAGCCCAAGCAGGAAAATGATTTCAATCCTGATGAATGCCAGGTCAGGAGTCCATGAGATGTTCCCTACCCATTTGACCCTCCCTGCCCTCCAGAACATCATTTCACGCACAGACCCAGGGTCTGACTGCTCCACTCAGTGCCACACACCCTTGCTCCCCTCGGGGACAGGGCATTTTCCCTGTTCCCTCCCTGAGGTCCTGTCCTCTCCCCTCAGCCCTATGAGCTCCCAGATGGCTCAGTCGTCATCAATGCCCGAAACCAGAACAACTACCACTGCCACTGCCGAATTGTCCTCCGCAGCTATGATGCCTGTGATACACTAAGGCCCCGTGATGTGACCTTCGACCCTGAGCTCGTGGACCCTGTGGTAGCTGCAGGAGCTGTAGTCACCAGCTCCGGCATTGTCTTCTTCTCCAACCCAGCACATCCAGAGTTCCGTGAGTGCCTCATGGGTGGGGTCAGCAGGGAGAGCCCTGTGTCTAGACAAGGCCTGGGCAGAGACCCTCTCTCCCTGACTCTCCTGCTCTCCCCAGGAGTGAACCTGACCCTGCGATGGAGCTTCAGCAATGGTACCTCATGGCGGAAAGAGACAGTCCAGCTATGGCCAGGCCCCAGTGGCTATTCATCCCTGGCAACCCTGGAGGGCAGCATGGATGGAGAGGAGCAGGCCCCCCAGCTCTACGTCCTGTATGAGAAAGGCCGGAACCACTACACAGAGAGCATCTCCGTGGCCAAAATCAGTGTCTATGGGACACTCTGAGCTGTGCCACTGCCACAGGGGTATTCTGCCTTCAGGACTCTGCCTTCAGGAACACGGGTCTGTAGAGGGTCTGCTGGAGACGCCTGAAAGACAGTTCCATCTTCCTTTAGACTCCAGCCTTGGCAAAATCACCTTCCCTTTACCAGGGAAATCACTTCCTTTAGGACTGAAAGCTAGGCGTCCTCTCCCACAAAAAAGTCCTGCCCTCATCTGAGAATACTGTCTTTCCATATGGCTAAGTGTGGCCCCACCACCCTCTCTGCCCTCCCGGGACATTGATTGGTCCTGTCTTGGGCAGGTCTAGTGAGCTGTAGAATTGAATCAATGTGAACTCAGGGAACTGGGGAAGGCTGAGCCTCCTCTTTGGTGTTGCGGTAAGATAACCGACAGGGCTGGTGAAAGTCCCCAGATGGCAGGATATTTGGTTTCAGAGTAAGGACTAGGTGCACCACCATGACTGACTATCAATCAAAATGTTTGTAACTTAAAATTTTTAATGAAGGATAATGAATATTTGTAGAGTCTCTATGGTTCTGTCAATGCACATCTTCGTGTCTGTTTTCCTCATGTATCCTTGTGAGCCTGGGTGAGTTCTGGGGAGAGACCTGATGTGCGTACTGCCTGTGAAAATCTGACTTTGGCAAATCAAATCCTCTTTTCCTTTTGACATGCCCTCTTTTTTTGTTGTTGCTTTTTTTGAGACAGGGCTCGCTCTGTCACCCAGGCTGGAGTGCAGTTGCACAATCACGGCTCACTGAAGCCTCAACCTCCTGGGCTCAAGTGATCCTCACGTCTCAGCCTCCGGAGTAGTTGGGACTACAGGTCAGTGACACCATGCCTGGTTAATTTTTTTAATTTTTATTTTCAGTAGAGACAAGGTTGCGCTATGTTGCCCAGGCTGGTATGGAACTCCTGTGCTTAAGCAATCCTCATGCCTCAGCTTCCCAAAGTGCTGAGGTTACAGCTATGAGCCACCGCACCCAGCCTACATTCCTTCTTATCACCGAGAAACAGGTTGATCTTCACAGGTGTAATGAGTATGAAGGGAGTGCCATAAGATATTTTTTATTTTTTATTTATTTATTTTTTAATTTAATTTTTTTTTTTTTGAGATGGAGTCTTGCTCTGGCACCCAGGCTAGAGTGCAGTGGTGCGATCTCGGCTCACTGCAACCTCTGCCTCCCAGGTTCAAGCGATTCTTCTGCCTCAGCTTCCCGAATAGCTGGGATTACAGGTGCCCACCACCACACCCGGCTAATTTTTGTATTTTTAGTAGAGACGGAGTTTCACCATGTTGGCCAGGCTGGTCTCAAACTCCTGGCCTCAGGTGATCCACCCGCCTCGGCCTCCCAAAGTGTTGTGATTACAAGCATGAGCCATGGTGCCGGCGGGCTGATTTTTTTAATTTTTAGTAGAGACAAAGTCTCACTATATTGCCTAGGTTGGTCTCAAACTGCTGAGCTCAAGCAATCTGCCGGCCATGTTCTCTCAAAGTGCTGGGATTACAGGCTTGAGCCCCTGCACCCAGCCTGTAAGATATTTTAAAATCCACACTTGGCCAAGCGTGGTGGCTCACACATATAATCCCAGCACTTTGGGAGGCCAAGGTGGGCGGATCACAAGGTCAGGAGTTCGAGACCAGCCTGGCCAATATGGTGAAATCCCATCTCTACTAAAAATACAAAAACTAGCCAGGCGTGTTGGCTTACACTTATAGTCCCAGCTACTCAGGTGGCTGAGGCAGGAGAATCACTTGAACCAGGAGGCGGAGTTTGCAGTGAGCTGAGATCACAGCACTGCACACCAGCCTCGGCAACAGAGTGAGACTCCGTCTGAAAAAAAAAAAATCCACGCTGTTTTATATTTCTAACATGGGGTAGGATACCATCCTCCATGAAATAGGGTGCAAGTGTGTGAAATGCAGATGGGAATCCTGTCCCAGCTAGCCTGACAGAGAAGTGAGCACTTCCTATGGCAAATTATGTAAGAAAATATTCCCCAGGCAGATGCTTATGAAAAGAATCTGTTCAGCCTGCAGGTAAGTGGGAGAGCCCTTGCTCAAAAAAAAAAAGAAAAAGAAATAGTGGAAGACAAAAAGGAAAGGACACTATGAATGTCTGACCCATGAACTACTACCTGTTAGAAACAGAAGTGCTGGGAGGCTTGAGAGACAGACACTACCTTCCTGGCTAGGTGTGGTGGCTCAGATCTGTAATGCTAGCACTTCGGGAGACCAAGGCAGGATGATCAAATTAAAGGGCATCCTGGGCAACATGGCAATACCCCATGTCTAAAAAATTTAAAAATTAGCCAAGCATGGTAACGCACACCTATAGTCCTAGCTACATGGGAGGATGGCTTGATCTCTTTGACCCCAGGAGTTCGAGGCAGTAGTGAGCTATGATTGCACCACTGCACACCAACCTAGGTGACAGAGTGAGACCTCATCTCCAAAAAACCAAACCAAAACAAAAAACCTTCAAGAAAGAAAAAAAGCTTGACCTTCCCTCCCTCACTCTTTACAGACCCATGGAATCTGAAGCTCTGGTGTTGGAGCCACCAGGCATTAACAAGCCTTCTGGGTGATTCGTAATACGTTTAAGTTTGAAAACCAGGGTCAGAACTTTTAAACAAGTGCAAGTGTCCAGCTAAAATGAATTATATGTACGTCAAAGTTGCAGAAATAGTTAAAGAACCTTTTTTTTCCAGCTTTTTTTTTTTCTTTTAATACACAGGGAAGGGTCAGGTGCAGTGGCTCACGCCTGTAATCCCAGCACTTTGGGAGGCCGAGGTGGGCGGATCACAAGGTCAGGGGTTCTAGACCAGCCTGGCCAACATGGTAAAACCCCATCTCTACTAAAAATACAAATATTAGCCATATGTGGTGGCACACGCCTGTAGTCCCAGCTACTCGGGAGCCTGAGGCAGGAGACTCACTTGAACCTGGGAGGCAGAGGTTGCAGTGAGCCGAGATTATGCCACTGCCCTCCAGCCTGGGCGACAGAGCAAGACTTCATCTTAAAAAAAAAAAAAATACACAGGAAAGATTGGGACAAGTGGCAGGAGACTGAAAGGGGAAAGAGCTTGTTTGTACTAATGGGACAAAGTGGGCCGACTCTGGGCACACTGCTTATGAGTTAGCTCTACTCTGTGAGGAAATTTTTTTTTTTTTTTTGAGACGGAGTCTTGCTCTGTTGCCCAGGCTGGAGTGCAGTGGCGCAATCTTGGCTCCCCGCAACCTCTGCCTCGCTGGTTCAAGCAATTCCCCTGCCTCAGCCTCCTAAGTAGCTGGGATTACAGGCGCCTGCCACCACGCTCGGCTAATTTTTTGGTATTTTTAGTAGAGACCCGGTTTCACCATGTTGGCCAGACTGGTCTCGAACTCCTGACCTCAGGCAATACGCCCGCCTCGGCCTCCCAAAGTGCCGGGATTACAGGTGTGAGCCACCCCACCCGGCCAAGGAAATATTTAAAAAATAAAATAAAATAAGTTATTTAAAAATTGGGGCAAGTTGGCTGGGCACGGTGGCTCACGCCTGTAATCCTAGCACTTTGGGAGGCTGAGGAAGGGGGATCACTTGAGGTCAGGAGTTCAAGACCAGTCTGGCCAACATGGTGAAACACTGTCTCTACTAAAAATTCAAAAAATTAGCCAGGCATTGTGGCAGGCACCTACAATCCCAGCTACTCAGGAGACTAAGGCAGGAGAATCGCTTGAACCTGGGAGACGGAGATTGCAGTGAGTTGAAATCATGCCACTGCACTCCAGCCTGGGCTATGGAGCGAGACTCTCCCTCAAAAAAAAAAAAATCGGGGTAAGTGTTATCAATCTAAAAAATAATAATTAAAAAGTTCAGAATCTAGGCCAGGCGCTGTGGCTCACACCTATAATCCCAGCACTTTGGGAGGCAGAGGCAAGCGAATCACCTGAAGTCAGGAGTTCAAGACCATCCTGGTCAACATGACGAAACCCCGTCTCTACCAAAAATACAAAAATTAGCTGGGTGTTGTGGGTCGCGCCTGTAGTCCCAGCTATTCAGGAGACTGAGGAAGGAGAATCGCTTGAACCCGGGAGCGAGAGGTTACAGTGGGCCAAGATCATACCATTGCATTCCAGTCTGGGAGACACAGCGAGACTGTCTTAAACAAACGAACAAAAGCTGAGAATCTAGTGTTGTTGCTTTTTACAGATGGAGTCTTGCCATGTTGCCCAGGTTAGATTCAGACTGAAGTTCAAGGGATCCTCCTGCCTCAGCCTCCTAGAGTAGATAGAGTTGGGACTGCAGGCACATACCACTGTACCAGGCTTAGAATCTAGTTTAAAGAGTTTATCCACCGGCTCTCCCTCCCTCTCCCTCTGTCTCCCTCTCCCCACGGTCTCCCTCTCATGCGGAGCCGAAGCTGGACTGTACTGCTGCCATCTCGGCTCACTGCAACCTCCCTGCCTGATTCTCCTGCCTCAGCCTGCCCAGTGCCTGCCATTGCAGGCACGCGCCGCCATGCCTGACTGGTTTTGGTGGAGACGGGGTTTCGCTGTGTTGGCCGGGCAGGTCTCCAGCCCCTAACCGCGAGTGATCCCGCCAACCTCAGCCTCCCGAGGTGCCGGGATTGCAGACGGAGTCTCGTTCACTCAGTGCTCAATGGTGCCCAGGCTGGAGTGCAGTGGCGTGATCTCGGCTCACTACAACCTACACCTCCCAGCCGCCTGCCTTGGCCTCCCAAAGTGCCGAGATTGCAGCCTCTGCCCGGCCGCCACCCCGTCTGGGAAGTGAGGAGCGTCTCTGCCTGGCCGCCCATCGTCTGGGATGTGAGGAGCCCCTCTGCCTGGCTGCCCAGTCTGGAAAGTGAGGAGCGTCTCCGCCCGGCCGCCATCCCATCTAGGAAGTGAGGAGCGCCTCTTCCCAGCCGCCATCACATCTAGGAAGTGAGGAGCGTCTCTGCCCGGCCGCCCATCGTCTGAGATGTGGGGAGCGCCTCTGCCCCGCCGCCCCATCTGGGATGTGAGGAGTGCCTCTGCCCGGCCGAGACCCCGTCTGGGAGGTGAGGAGCGTCTCTGCCCGGCCGCCCCGTCTGAGAAGTGAGGAGACCCTCTGCCTGGCAACCACCCCGTCTGAGAAGTGAGGAGCCCCTCCGCCCGGCAACTGCCCCGTCTGAGAAGTGAGGAGCCTCTCCGCCCCGCAGCCACCCCATCTGGGAAGTGAGGAGCATCTCCGCCCGGCAGCCACCCCGTCCGGGAGGGAGGTGGGGGGGGTCAACCCCCCGCCCGGCCAGCCGCCCCATCTGGGAGGGAGGTGGGGGGTCAGCCCCCCCGACCGGCCAGCCGTGCCATCCGGGAGGGAGGTGGGGGGGTCAGCCCCCCACCTGGCCAGCCGTGCCGTCCGGGAGGGAGGTGGGGGGGTCAGCCCCCCGCCCGGCCAGCCGCCCCGTCCGGGAGGTGAGGGGTGCCTCTGCCCGGCCACCCCTACTGGGAAGTGAGGAGCCCCTCAGCCCGGCCAGCCACCCCGTCCGGGAGGGAGATGGGGGGGTCAGCCCCCCCACCCGGCCAGCCGCCCGGTCCGGGAGGGAGGTGGGGGGGTCAGCCCCCCGCCTGGCCAGCCGCCCTGTCCGGGAGGGAGGTGGGGGGGTCAGCCCTCCGCCCGGCCAGCCGCCCCGTCTGGGAGGTGAGGGGCGCCTCTGCCCGGCCGCCCCTACTGGGAAGTGAGGAGCCCCTCTGCCCGGCCAGCCGCCCCGTCCGGGAGGGAGGTGGGGGTGTCAGCCCCCCGCCCGGCCAGCCGCCCCGTCCGGGAGGGAGGTGGGGGGGGTCAGCCCCCCCGCCCGGCCAGCCGCCCCGTCCGGGAGGTGAGGGGCGCCTCTGCCCGGCCGCCCCTACTGGGAAGTGAGGAGCCCCTCTGCCCGGCCAGCCGCCCCGTCCGGGAGGGAGGTGGGGGTGTCAGCCCCCCGCCCGGCCAGCCGCCCCGTCCGGGAGGGAGGTGGGGGGGGTCAGCCCCCCCGCCCGGCCAGCCGCCCCGTCCGGGAGGTGAGGGGCGCCTCTGCCCGGCCGCCCCTACTGGGAAGTGAGGAGCCCCTCTGCGCGGCCACCACCCCGTCTGGGAGGTGTGCCCAACAGCTCATTGAGAACGGGCCAGGATGACAATGGCGGCTTTGTGGAATAGAAAGGCAGGAAAGGTGGGGAAAAGATTGAGAAATCGGATGGTTGCCGTGTCTGTGTAGAAAGAAGTAGACATGGGAGACTTTTCATTTTGTTCTGCACTAAGAAAAATTCCTCTGCCTTGGGATCCTGTTGATCTGTGACCTTACCCCCAACCCTGTGCTCTCTGAAACATGTGCTGTGTCCACTCAGGGTTAAATGGATTAAGGGCGGTGCAAGATGTGCTTTGTTAAACAGATGCTTGAAGGCAGGGTGCTCGTTGGGAGTCATCACCAATCCCTAATCTCAAGTAATCAGGGACACAAACACTGCGGAAGGCCGCAGGGTCCTCTGCCTAGGAAAACCAGAGACCTTTGTTCACTTGTTTATCTGCTGACCTTCCCTCCACTATTGTCCCATGACCCTGCCAAATCCCCCTCTGTGAGAAACACCCAAGAATTATCAATAAAAAAATAAATTTAAAAAAAAAAAAAAAAAAAAAAAAAGAGTTTATCCAACTGCAAATGTTGAGGAAGTGGCCCGTCTAGAGCTGAAGATTCCAAAGAATATTAGTCTATGTTCCAAAAGTGTAGAAGTTTGGAATCGCTTATATAAACAGAAAGTTTATGGAAACTTAGAATTTCAACATTGTTCTGTGTTCACAATTGGTGGGTTCTTGGTCTCATTGATTTAAAGAATGAGGCCGCAGACCCTCACGGGGAGTGTTACAGTTCTTAAATGCGGCGCCTCTGGAGTTGTTTGTTCCTCCCGGGGGGTTCGTGCTCTCGCTAGCGTCAGGAGTGAAACTGCATACCCCTGCGGTGAGTGTTACACCTCATAAAAGTAGTGTGGACCCAAAGAACAAATAGCAATAAAATTTATTGCAAAGACGGAAATAACAAACTTTCCACTCTATGGAAAATGACCAGAGTGGGATGTCACTACTCACTCAGGCAGCCTGCTTTTATTCCCTTATCTGGCCCCACCCACATCCTGCTGATTGGTCCATTTTACAGAGAGCTGATTGGTCCGTTTTACAGAGAGCTGATTGGTCCATTTTGACAGGGTGCTGATTGGTGCGTTTACAATCCCTGAGCTAGACACAAAAGTTCTCCATGTCCTCACTAGATTAGCTAGATACAGTGTCGATTGGTGCATTTACAAACCCTGAGCTAGACACAGGATGCTGATTGGTATATTTACAAACCTTGAGCTAGATACAGAGTGCCGATTGGTGTATTTACAATCCCTTAGCTAGACATAAAGGTTCTCCAAGTCCCCACCACACTCAGGAGCCCAGCTGGCTTCACCCAGTGGATCCCGCACTGGGGCCGCAGGTGGAGCTGCTTGCCAGTCCTGCCCCATGCGCCTGCACTCTTCAGCCCTTGGGAGGTTGATGGGACTGGGGGCCGTGGAGCAGGGGGTGGCGCTCGTCGGGGAGGCTCTGCAGCACAGGAGCCCACGGCGGGGTTGGGGCTCAGGCATGGCGGGCTGCAGGTCCTGAGTCCTGTCCTGTGGTGAGGCAGCTAAGGCCCCGTGAGAAATCGAGCACAGCAAGCTGCTGGCCCAGGTGCTAAACCCCTCACTGCCCTGCCCGGGGCTTGTGGGCCAGCCTGCCGCTCCAAGAGCGGGGCAGCCGAGCCCACGCCCACCCGGAACTTGCGCTGGCCCACAAGCGCTGCGTGCAGCCCCGGTTCCCGCCCGCGCCTCTCCCTCCACACCTCCCCGCAAGCCGAGGGAGCCGGCTCCGGCCTCGGCCAGCCCAGAGAAGGCTCCCACGGTGCAGTGGCGGGCTGAAGGGCTCCTCAAGCGCGGCCAGAATGGGCGCCAAGGCCGAGGAGGCGCCGAGAGCCAGCAAGGGCTGCGAGGGCTGTCAGCACGCTGTCAACTCTCAGTTCTATGGTAAGGCTTATTGCATAGTTACAATGATCTGATTAGTCAATTTTTTTTTTCTTTTTTGGGGGGTGGGGGAAGGTGTTTTTTACATTCCACACTGAAGATGCAATAGTCATGGGGTCTTGGGTGCCATCTGGTCTGAGTCAGGTACAGGACAATAAAGGAGGCAGTTAATCTACAACAAAGATCAGTGATTGGAAAGGAGGTCTCATTACAGAACAAGAGCAATGAGGAGGAGAGTCTGTAAGAAGCAGAATTGCAAACATGCTACATGACTCAGTCTCCAAGGCTTAACTTCCATCTTGGCATAAACTTAGAGTCCTGAAGTTTTGTTTTCTTTTTACGGTGGACTTTGCACATCATTGCCTGGTGAGTGCCCGCTGGATCAGCAGCCAAATTCTAGCATGAAACCCTTTCCCCAACATCCCCTTTCACCTTGCATGGCCCTCCTTCCCTTCACACATTGATCCCCACTCCCAGCCCCTTTGCTTAGGATCAAACCAGCTCAAGCTCTCTCTGTCTTCTCAGCTGTCCCTTAAATAAGGGAAAGAGACAGTAACAATGAACACTGACCTGAACAGCAAATACCAGGGACCAGGGACCATGGATACTTTTTTGCTAATGTAATCCTTCCAACCAAAAGTCATGACAAGGAGGGAATAGGAAAAAGTATTTTTTTTTTTTTTTGAGACAGGGTCTTACTCTGTCACCCAGGCTGGAGTGCAGTAGCATGATCACAGCTCACTGCAACCTTGACCACCTGGGTTCAAGCAATCTTCCCACCTCAGCCTCCTGAGTAGCTGGGACTACAGGCACTTGCCACCAAGCCCAGCTAATATTTTCATTTTTGTAGAAACAGGGTCCCACTATGTTGCCCAGGCTGGTCTTAAACTCCTGGGCTCAAGTGATCCTTGACCACCCCACCCGCTCGGCCTCCCAAAGTGCTAGAGTTACAGGCCTGCCCACCCATAGCCATCTAATAATTTTTGCCCAAGAAAGGATTGGGAAGGAAGATCAAAGCAATGGCTTGGACATCTTTCCAACAACAACAACAACAACAACAAAACCACAACAGACTCAAATTACCATAGTAGAAGTATAGGTCTTCCTTTTCCTAATACTCTGGGATTTTTTTTTTTTTTGAGACAGAGTCTTGCTCTGTTGCCCAGGCAGGCTGGAGTGCAGTGGCGTGATCTCAACTCACTGCAACCTCCGTGTCCCAGGTTCAAGTGATTCTCCTGCCTCAGCCTCCTGAGTATTTGGGATTATAGGTGCCCACCACCACACCTGGCTAATTTTTTGTATTTTTAGTAGAGATGGGTTTTCACCATGTTGACCAGGCTGGTCTCTACTAAAAATACAAAAATTAGCCGGGTGTGGTGGCATGCCCCTGTAGTCTCAGCTACTCGGGAGGCTGAGGCAGAAGAATCGCTTGAACCTGGGAGGCAGAGGTTGCAGTAAGCCGAGATCATGCCACTGCACTCCAGCCTGGTGACACAGTGAGACTCTGTCCCAAAAAAAAAAAAAAAAGAGGCCGGGCGCGGTGGCTCATGTCTGTAATCCCAGCATTTTGGGAGGCCAAGGCAGGCGAATCACCTGAGGTCAGGAGTTCAAGACCAGCCTCACCAACATGGAGAAACCCAGTCTCTACTAAAAATACAAAATTAGGCTGGGCACAGTGGCTCACGCCACCCAGCACTTTGGGGAGGCCAAGGCGGGCGGATCACCTGAGGTCAGGAGTTCAAGACCAGCCTGGCCAACATGGTGAAACCCCCGTCTCTACTAAAAATACAAAAATTAGCCAGGCGTGGTAGTGCATGCCTGTAATGCCAGCTACTGAGGAGGCTGAGGCAGGAGAATCGCTTGAACCCGAGAGGGGAAGGCTGAAGTGAGCCGAGATCACGCCACTGCACTCCAGCCTCGGCAACAAGAGCGAGACTCTGTCTCAAAAAAAAAAAAAAAAAAAAAAAGCTGGCCAGAGGCGGTAATTACATGCCTGTAATCCCAGTCCCAGTACTTTGGAAGGCCAAGACGGGCAGATCATTTGAGCCCAGGAGTTTGAGACCAGCCTGGGCAACATGGCAAGACCTCATCTCTACAAAAAATTTAAAAATTAGCTGGGGCAGTGGCCCACACCTGTAGTTTCAGCTACATGGGAAGCTGAGGTGAGAGGGTCACTTGAGCCCAGGAGGTAGAGGCTGTAGTGCACCAAGACCGCACCACTGCCCTCAAACCTGGGCGACAGGGCAAGAAACTTGTCTCAAAAACAAACAAATAAGAAACCCACAGCACATTAGGTCAAATACTTTTATAAAAAATTTTTTTAGGCCGGGCACGGTGGCTCATGCCTGTAATCCCAGCACTTTGGGAGGCCAAGGCGGGCGGATCACAAGGTCAGGAGATCCAGACCTCCTGGCTAACACGGTGAAACACTGTCTCTACTAAAAATACAAAATATTAGCCGGGCGTGGTGGCGGGAGCCTGTAGTCCCAGCTACTTGGGAAGCTGAAGCAGGAGAATGGAGTGAACCTGGAAGGCAGAGCTTGCAGTGAGCTGAGATGGTGCCACTGCACTCCAGCCTGGGAAACAGAGCAAGACTCTGTCTGAAGAAAAAAAAAATTAGAGTGAAAAAATAAAAAGGTTGATGAGTCTGTGTTTCACGAAAAACTCTCCAAACTCCCAAACTGTTTTAAACTTTTTCCTCCTCTACTCTCTCACTCTCTCCCCCCAGCCACACTCACACACACACTTTTTTTTTTTTTTTTTTTTGAGACAGAGTCTCGCTCTGTCACCCAGGCTAGAGTGCAGTGGCATGATCTCGGCTCACTGCAACCTCCGACTCCCAGATTCAAGTAATTCTCCTGCCTCAGATTCTCAAGAGTAGCTGGGATTACAGGTGTTCACCACCACACCCGGCTAATTTTTGTATTTTTAGTAGCGATGGGGTTTCTCCATGTTGGCCAGGCTGGTCTCAAACTCCTGACCTCAGGTGATCCACCTGCCTCCGCCTCCCAAAGTGCTGGGATTACAGCCGTGAGCCACTGTGCTCAACAACACACTTCTTTTAAAGACAGGGTCTCACTCTGTCACCCAGCCTGGAGTGCAGTACTGCAATCATAGCTCACTTCAGCCTTGACCTCCCAGGCTCAAGCAATCCTCCCACCTCAGCCCCATGAGTGGTTGGAACCACAGGTGTGTGCCACCACACCTGCTAATTTTTGTATTTTTTGAAGACACGAGGTCTCGACATGTTGCCCAGGCTGGTCTTGAACTCCTGGGCTCAAGCAATCCACCAACCTCGGCCTTCCAAAGTGCTGGGACTACAGGTGTGAGCCATGGTAACTGGCCTGAATATTAAGTGCTATTAGGGAATTAAATTTGCTTTTCTCAGGTATAATAGTATTGTGAATATGCAGATGAACATCCTTATTTTTTGGAGATGCATACTCAAATACAAAGGGATAAAATGTCATAATCTCTTTAATATACTTTGAAATGATCCTACCAAATATAAGTACATACAGATGCTAATATCATTGTTTTTGCCAATTTTCTTTTTTCTTCCTTTTAGATACAGGGTCTTGGTCTGTCGCACAGGCCGGAGAGCAGTGAGTGGAACAATCATGGCTCTGTAGCCTCGACCTTCTGGGCTCAAGTGATCCTTCCATCTCAGCCTCCCAAGTAGCTGGGACTACAGGTGCTTGGGAGTACACCTAATTTTTTAATTTTGTAGAGAAGTGGTCTCCGCCCAGGCTGGCCTCAAACTCCTGCACTCCAGCAATCCTCCTGCCTTGACCTCCCAAAGTACTGGGATTACAGACATTAGCCACCACGCCCAACCAAAACTTTTAAAAGTTTTTTTTTTGTTTTATAACAGTTCCTCTGCCTCTTTTAGAGGCAATCAACCCAGTGTGGAGCACAGGTATTCCCTGGGTGGCACTAGGAGATGGGACTTGCTCCCTGTTTCAAGGTGGTACCAGCTAATGCTGCAAGGCCCTTTGAAGAAGGCTCCCCCTTCCCAGTTTATTATCTGCCATCAGTAAATAACTGGGGATTATCAGCTGACACCTTTATCTTCACTACATTCTTTAGAATTTAAGACAGGCAACAGCCAGCCTAGAATGTGACCCACTTCCACCTGAGGTTCACCTGACTGGAGGCAATAAAGTTTAACATTTCAAGAGTCAGCAGGTACTTTAACCCTTAGGATAATTTGTTTCTTTATATAGTCTTTGGAAAATAACACAAGAATTAAAAAAAAAAAAAAAAAAACAGCCAGGCTTGGTGGCTCAGGAGGCAGAGGCTGCAGTGAGCCAAGATGGCTCCAGTGCACTACAGCCTGGACAACACAGTGAGACCCTGTCCACCCCACTCCCCCCCAAAAAAAGTCATGGGAAAGTAGAATGCTAATGAAAAGAAAGTACTACAATCAACAAACTAACAGATGGGCCTGAGATGCTAAAAACCAGGTACCCCTGTACGCCATTGGGCAGCAGAGCTCATGATGGCTCTGTGGCTGTTCTGGCTGCAGGTAACAAATCCATGTAACAAACAAAGTAGGCTGGGTGCAGTGGCTCACGCCTGTAATCCCAGCACTTTGGGAGGGCGAGGCAGGTGAATCACAAGGTCAGGAGTTCAAGACCAACCTGACCAACACGGTGAAACCTTGTCTCTACTAAAAATACAAAAATTATCCAGACGTGGTGGCACCACCTGTAATCCCAGCTACTCAGGAGGCTGAGTCAGGAGCATCGCTTGAACCTGGGAGGCGTAGGTTGCAGTGAGCTGAGATCATGCCACTGCACTCCAGCCTGGGCAACAGAGCAAGACTCCCATCTCAAAAACAAAAACAAAGCAGCTCTGGAGTTGGAGTATCTCATTCCATCCTTCATGTTTCAAAACTTCCTTTTCATATCACCTCTGATTTCTCTGCTCCACATTATGGATTATTTCTCCCTCCAACTCACTAATTCTTCATTTAGTTGGTCTGCTGTTTATCTTGTTTATTGTGTATCTTTGTTGTTTTTTTTGGTTTTTATTTTTAGAGATGGTGTCTTGCAATATTACCCAGGCTGGTCTCGAACTCCTGGGCTCAGGTGATCCTCCCACCTTGGCCTCCCAAAGTGCTGGGATTACAGGCATGAGTCACCATACCCAGCCCCCAAGCTATGTTTTTAAGATACTAAGAAATATTTCAGACATGCAAAAATAAGAAATGAGAGGCCAGGCACATTACATATGCTTACATACTACCAGTATGTAAACATATATTAATGTTACATACAACTAATATGTAAACATTACGTACCACTAGTTGTTGGTTTTGTTTTTTTTGAGACAGAGTCTCATGCTTTTGCCCAGGCTGGAGTGCAGGGGTTCAATCTTGGCTCACTGCAACCTCCACCTCCTGGGTTCAAGCAATTCTCATGCCTCAGCCATCAGAGTATCTGGGATTACAGGTGTGCACCACCACACTTGGCTAATTTTTGTATTTTTAGTAGAGACAGGGTTTCGCCATGTTGACCAGGTTGGTCTCAAACTCCTGGCCTCAAGTGATCCACCTGCTTCGGCCTCCCAAAGCGCTGGAATTACAGGCATGAGACACTGCACCCAGCCCCAAAAGTTTTTAAGGTTATTTCTGGGCTCTAGAATTTCCTCACAACCCAAAAGATGCAAATTTCATCCATGAGTTCTGTTGGTGCAGGTTTGGGTGTACCCCACAAAGCCTGCGGCTGTGACTCTGGCCAATGGGTAGAAATTTTACTCCTCGAACACTGACAAAAGAGCTCCAAGCAGCTCCTGGGTTTCTGTAGCATGGCTGAAGCAGAGTGGAAATGGGGTTTCACCATGTTGGCCAGGCTGGTCCCCAACCCCTGACCTCAGGTGTAGAAGATGAGGTCAGAAAGTTGACAGAGCTAGACTGGGAGGACCTTGTTGGGTGGCCCTTGTAAGATGGAGACTTTTACTCTGAGTGAAATGGCAGCTGTTACAGGATCTTCAGAAGAGGGGAGACATGACCTGACTCCTGATTTGGAAGGAACCTTCTGGCTGCTGTGTGGAGAGAGCCTGTA
This sequence comes from Homo sapiens, assembly GCF_000001405.40. Classification (NCBI taxonomy): domain Eukaryota; kingdom Metazoa; phylum Chordata; class Mammalia; order Primates; family Hominidae; genus Homo; species Homo sapiens. The sequence continues at coordinate 3,150,840 of NT_167246.2, read as the reverse complement.
ACGGGCAAAAGTGGAAGCCAGGAGACCAGGTAGGAGACAGTTGCAGTTGTCTAGGTGAGAGCCAATGGTGGCTCCCACCAGGATGGAGCAGCAGTAAAGGTGTGAGACACAGATCCTCGTGTCATTTCTAAGATACAGACAGTATGATTTGCTGACAAATTAGATGTAGCATGTGAGAACAGGAGAGCAGTCAGGCAGATTCCAAGGGTCTAGCCTAAGCAACTGGCAGGTAGAGGTGTCACCTGGAGGGCCAGCACACTGGCCAGTGGGTAAGGATTCCAAGGATTCTTGTCTCCCATTTCTGTGGGGAGACAGGCTGAGGCCAAGCCTTAGGAGGCTCACTGCCTACAGTAGCTGAAGTAGCAGGCTAGCCGCTATTAGAGTAACTGCAAGCTGGGGAGTTCAGCCTGGGAGGATGGGAAGGAGGACTGTTTATTACTGAAGTTGCTCCACTCCTGGTATGGAAATGGGGCCTAAAGAAATGAGGAAAATAGGCCGGCGGTGGCTCACGCCTGTAATCCCAGCACTTTGGGAGGCCAAGGCGGGTGGATCACGAGGTCAGGAGATCGAGACCATCCTGGCTAACACGGTGAAACCCCGTCTCTACTAAATATACAAAAAATTAGCCGGGTGTAGTGGTGGACGCCTGTATTCCCAGCTAATCGGGAGGCTGAGGCAGGAGAATGGCGTGAACCCGGGAGGCGGAGCTTGCAGTGAGCCGAGATCGCGCCACTGCACTCCAGCCTGGGCGACAGAGCGAGACTCCGTCTCAAAAAAAAAAAAAAAGAAATGAGGAAAATAGCATTTTGGGGTTGAGGTCTTTCAGCATCACCACTGTGTGAGAAAAGAAGTTCACGTGACCATCTTACCATGGCTGTAGCTCAGTCTTATACCCCAAACCTGGGATTAGCACCCACCACACAGGGGAGGACTTGAACCATACAAAGGGCAGGGGAATGCAGAAGAGACCCTTGGGGACAAGAAATGAAACCAACAAAGCTGAGTATGGTGGCATATGCCTGTTGCCCCAGCTACTGAGGAAGCTGAGGCGGGAGGATCACTTCAGCCCAGGAGTTCAAGTCAGACCTGGGCAACAGAGCATGACTCTACCTCTTCATTTATTTATTTAGAGATAAGGCTCACTCTGTTGCCCAGATTGGAGTGCAGTGGCACAATCATGGCTCACTGCAGCCTCAACTTCCAGGGCTCAAGCAATTCTCCCATCTCAGCCTCCCAAGTAGCTGAACCACGGCATGCCATCACAACCGGCTAATTTTTAAAATTTTTTGTAGGAACTGGATTTCACCGTGTTGCCCAGGCAGACTGGTCTCAAACTCCTGGGTTCAAGAGATCTGCCCACCATGGCCTCCCACAGTGCTGGGGTTGCAGGTGTGAGCCACCGCACTATGCTTCTTTTTTGTTAGAGACGGGATAGGCCGGGCTTGGTGGCTCAAGCTTGTAATCTCAGCATTTGGGGAGGCCAAAGCAGGTAGATCATTTGATTTCAGGAGTTAGACACCAGTCAGGCAATATAGTGAAACCTTCACTGTATAAAAAATTTAAAAATTAGCTGGGCATGGCTGGGCGCGGTGGCTCACCTGTAATCCCAGCACTTTGGGAGGCCGAGGCAGGTAGATCATGAGGTCAGGAGATCGAGACCATCCTGGCTAACACGGTGAAACCTCGTCTCTACCTAAAATACAAAAAAATTAGCCAGGCGTGGTGGCTAGCACCTGTAGTTCCTGCTACTCGGGAGGCTGAGGCAGGAGAATGGCGTGAACCTGAGAGGCAGAGCTTGCAGTGAGCCAAGATCGCGCCACTGCACTCCAGCCTGGGTGACAGAGCAAGACTCCGTCTCAAAAAAAAAAAAAAAAGGTCAGGTACGGTAGCTCACGCCTGTAATCCCAGCACTTTGGGAGGCCAAGGCAGGTGGATCACGAGGTCAGGAGATCGAAACCATCCTGGCTAACACGGTGAAACCCCATCTTTACTAAAAATACAAAAAATTAGCTGGCCGTGGTGGTGGGTGCCTGTAGTCCCAGCTAGTCGGGAGGCTGAGGCAGGAGAATGGTGTGAACCCAGGAGGTGGAGCTTGCAGTGAGCCGAGATTGCACCACTGCACTCCAACTTGGGCGACAAAGCAAGATTCTCTTTCAAAAAGAAAAAAAAATTAGCTGGGCATGATGGAGCACCTGTAGTTCCAGCTACTTCAGAGGCTGAGGTGGGAGGATCACTTGAGCCCAGGAGGTCAAGGCTGTAGTGAGCTGTAATCTTGCCACTGTACTCGAGCCTGGGCAACAGTGACACCCTGTCTCAAAAAAAAGAGAGGGTAGGCCCGGTGCAGTGGCTCACACCTGTAATCCCAACACTTTGGGAGGTGGGTGAATCACCTGGAGTCAGGAGTTTGAGACCAGCCTGGCCAACATGGTGAAACCCTATCTCTACTACTGAAGAAAAAAAAAAAAAAGAGGGTGGGTAGGAACTCTGTTATCTATTTACAAACAAGGAAATTGTTATGGGAATCACTGAGGAACTTAGCCAAAGTTAACCTAGCAGTAAGTGTTCAGTCTGGCTCCTGAATCTTTTTGAAACAGTCTCACTCTGTCACCCAGGCTGGAGTGCAGTGGTGCCATCTTGGTTCACTGCAACCTCCACCTCTCAGGTTCAAGCGATTCTCATGCCTCAGCCTCCCAAGTAGCTGGGCTTACAGGCGCATGCCACCATGCTCGGTTAACTGTATGTATGTATGTATGTATTTTGAGATGTAGTTTCATTCTTGTTGCCCAGGCTAGAGCATAATGGCATGATCTCAGCTCACTGCAACCTCCGCCTGCCAGGTTCAAGTGATTCTCCTGCGTCAGCCTCCCGAGTCGCTGGGATTACAGGCGTGTGCCACCACACCTGGCTAATTTATTTTTGTATTTTTAGTAGAGACAGGGTTTTGCCATGTTGGCCAGGCTGGTCTCGAACTCCTGACCTTAGGTGATCCACCTGCCTCGGCCTCCCAAAGTGCTGGGATTACAGGCGTGAGCCACCATGCCTGGCCCTAATTGAGATGGAGTCTCACTCTGTCGCGCAGGCTGGAGTGCAGTGGCGGGATCTTGACTCACTGCAAGCTCCACCTCCCGGGTTCACGCCATTCTCCTGCCTCAGCCTCCCGAGGAGCTGGGACTACAGGCGCCCGCCACCACGCCCGGCTGATTTTTGTATTTTTAGTAGAGACGGGGTTTCACCGTGTTAGACAGGATGGTCTTGATCTCCTGACCTCGTGATCTGCCCGCCTCGGCCTCCTAAAGTGCTGGGATTACAGGCATGAGCCTGGCCCTTTTTTATATTTTTTTTAGTAGAGATGGGGTTTCACCATGTTGGCCAGGCTGGTCCCTAACCCCTGACCTCAGGTGATCTGTCCGCCTCAGCTGCGATTACGGGCATGAGCCACCATGCCAGGCCCTGAAGTTTTTTATGTCCACAAATGTGTATGGAAGGGTGGACTCCAAATGAACTACAGGAAAATACATGAACAACAACAAAAGTTGCAGGCCAGGTGTGGTGGCTCTGGCCTAGAATCACAGCACTTTCACTTTCAGAGGCTGAGGCTGGCGGATCACCTAAGTTCGGGAGACCAGCCCGACCAACATGGAGAAACCCCATCTCTAATAAAAATACAAAATTAGCCGGGCGTGGTGGCATATAATCCCAGCTACTTGGCAGGCTAAGGCAGGAGAATCGCTTGAACCCAGGAGGCAGAGGTTGTGGTGAGCCAAGATAGTGCCACTGCACTCCAGCCTGGGGAACAAGAGCAAAACTATGTCTCAAAAAACAAAAAAGGCTGGGCGCGATGGCTCACGCCTGTAATCCCTGCACTTTGGGAGGCCAAGGCGGGCGGATCACGAGGTCAGGAGATCCAAGACCATCCTGGCTAACACAATGAAACCCGTCTCTACTAAAAATACAAAAAAATTAGCCGGGCACCTGTAGTCCCAGCTACTCCGGAGGCTGAGGCAGGAGAATGGCTTGAACCTGGGAGGCAGAGCTTGCAGTGAGCCGAGATCGCGCCACTACATGCTGCCTGGGCGACAGAGCGAGACTCCATCTCAAAGATAAATGAAATAAGTAAATGTCAGGCGTGGTGGCTCACGCCTGTAATCCCAGCATTTCAGGAGGCCGAGGCGGGCGGACGGTGAGGCTAGGAGTTGGAGACCACCCTGGCCAATGTGGTGAAACCCCGTCTCTAGTAAAAATACAAAAATTAGCTGGGCATAGTGGTGCGCGCCTGTGGTCCCAGCTACTCGGGAGGCTGAGGGAGGAGAAATCGCTTGAACCTGGGAGGTGGAGGTTGCAGTGAGCTATCGCGCCACTGCACTCCAGCCTGGCGACAGAGCAAGACTCTGTCCCCCCCGCCCCCCAGAAAAGCAGAAAGTTGCAGTAGAACACATGAAGATTTATTCTTTTTGAAAAATGAAAAATGGGCCAGCATGGTGGCTGTTTGTAATGCCAGCACTTTGGGAGTCCAAGGTGGGCAAATCACAAGGTCGGGAGTTCGAGACCAGCCTGGCCAACATGGTGAAACCCCCATCTCTACTAGAAATACAAAAAATTAGCGGGGCATGGTGGCGGGCACCTGTAGTCCCAGTGATTTGGGAGGCCCAGGCAGAATAATGGGGTGAACCTGGGAGGCAGAGATTGCAGTATGAGTCGAGATCACGCCACTGCACTCTAGCCTGGGCGACAGTGCAAGACTCCATCCCCCCAAAAAAGAAAAATGTTGTCTCGTGTCTGGTGAATCATTCCATTTTTACAAAGTTCAAAAGATACGCAAAATTAAAATGATATTGTTTAGCAATGCACTCAGTAAAACTATTAAGAAAAGCCAGAGGATGATATACCCAGTTAATTCTCCAAGTAGGAAGAAGAAAAAGAGAAATTGAATCAGACAGGTTTGTTTCAAAGTTATTGGTAATGTTCTGGCCAGGCACATCATTTGAGGTCAGGAGTTCGAAACCACCC
>NT_167246.2:2923936-3056487 GCF_000001405.40 Homo sapiens | reverse complement strand
GGCCAGCCTGGTCTCAAACTCCGGACCTCTGGTGTTCCACCTGCCTCGGCCTCCCAAAGTGCTGGGATTACAGTCATGAGCCACCACGCCCGGCTAATTATTTACATCTTTTTGTGTGTTGGAGGTATTTCCTAATAAATGAAAATAAATTCAGGCCAGGTGCGGTGGCTCACGCCTGTAATCCCAGCACTTTGGCAGGCCAAGGAGGGCGGGTCACGAGGTCAGGAGATCAAGACCATCCTGGCTAACGCGGTGAAACCCCGTCTCTACTAAAAACACAACAAAATTAGCCGGGCGTGTTGGCGGGCACCTATAGTCCCAGCTACTCGGGAGGGTGAGGCAGAATGGTGTAAACCCGGGAGGTGGAGCTTGCAATGAGCCAGGCCACTGCACTCCAGGATGGGTGACAGAGTGAGACTCTGTCTCAAAAAATAAATAAATAAATAAAATAAATTCATATACAGAAATAAATGTCTCATCTGTGTTTGTCTAATTCCGGGTATCCCTGTATACTTATTGGCCATGAGAGTGTGAGACTCTGTAGGGACTTGTGAGCCCACAAATTCTTTTCTACATAGAACAAGTACTAAGGATGCCATCTTATATAAGAGCCAACATGTGCACACACTAGGTCCTGAAGATTTGTATCTTACATTGCAGTCTGTGGCCAGTTACTTTGGGTTAGAACACCCCAGATTTGAATGAAGCGGAGCATCCAGATGGCTTCAAGGGTGGGTTTCAGGTACCTCTGCTCCTTGGTCACTGAGGGCTCCCACCAGAACAGTGTAGGCCAGTCTGTAAATAGCCATCCCCACTTTAGAAAGCACATGCGCTGCACTAAACACTTAGGTATCTCTGACTCACGCCCTGCTCGTACTGGGAGAGACTTTAGTTAAACCAAACTGTAAATTTAACAACTGAGAAAATGAAACCGTTAAAAGATAAGCAACTTGCCCAAAGTCATACCGCCAATGAGAACAGCTAAGTCTCAAAATCATGTCTCCAGACTCCTAGGACAGTGCCCTTTAGAGCATACTGTGACATTCAGTCATATTCTTGGTGCCTGTACAGCTTTTAGTTCTTGAACTCCTGGCCTCAAGCAATCCTCCTGCCTCAGCCTCCCAAATGCTGGGATTATAGGCGTGAGCCACCACATCTGGCCCTATATTATTATTTACATCTTTTTGTACGTTAGAGGTATTTCCTAATAAATTAAAATAAATTCGTATACAGAAATATTAATAAATATGTCACCTGTCCTTAGTTCATTAGATTATATGATGATTCTTCAAGTTATATGATCTCATGCCCTGTCTGATTCCATTTGGGGAATACGCATTCCTCCCCGACCTTAAATCCAGCTCTCTTCTCCACTGAGAATTCTCTCCCTCCCATCTGTGGCTGAGATTAAAGATCTGCACCTGAAGCACTGAAGAATGTGTGGGTAATTAAATTACCCTGCCGATTCCTGGAGATGCTGATTACCTGGAGATGACCTCAGAGATTATCCTAAATTAACTCCTACAAGATACACATTGCAGCGGGAGGTGAGGTAGGGGAAGGATTGTGCACCTGAGGCTAGCAAAGGTTTCCACTCTGTTTAGAGATGATGTCACCAGTGCGTTTACATTTGCGTTGTGTTCACACATTGAGTGCTACTATGTACAAGACCATGTGTCAGACACTGAGGTAACAGGTATAGCTACTAGATAGAGTTCATAGCTATGGAGGCAAGCAGATTCACTGACTGCTAATTCTAACATGATGTGACAGTGCAACTAGAAAAACATAAACAAGCACTATGTGAGCACAAAGAAGGTGCACATCAACTCCTTACAGGTACCTGTAAAAGCCAAAGGGTAACAGTTGGATTGCACCTTGAAGAGGATGCACTTTTTTTTTTTTTTAAGACAGAATCTCACTCTGTTGCCCAGGCTGGAGTGCAGTGGGGCAATCTGGGCTCACTTCAACCTCTACCTCCCGAGTTCAAGCAATTCTCCTGCCTCAGCCTCCTGAGTAGCTGGTACTAGAGGCATGCGCCATGATGCTGGGCTAATTTTTGTATTTTCGGTAGACGTGAAGTTTCACCAAGTTGGCCAGGCTGGTCTTGAACTCCTGACCTCAAATCATCCACCCACCTCAGCCTCCCAAAATGCTGAGACTACAGGCGTGAGCCACCGCGCCTGACCTGGATGTAAGATTTTGATAGGTACAGAACAAGGAAAAGACTTTCCAGGCCGGGCACAGTGGCTTATGCCTGTAATCCCAGCACTTTGGGAGGCCGAGGTGGGCAGATCACGAGGTCAGCAGTTCAAGACCAGCGTGGCCAACATGGTGAAATCCCATCTCTACTAAAAATACAAAAATTAGCCAGGCATGGTGGTGGGTCCCTGTAATCCCAGCTACTCCGGAGGCTGAGGCAGGAGAATTGCTTGAACCTGGGAGGTGGAGGTTGCAGTGAGCAAAGACCGCGCCACTGCACTCCAGCCTGGGTGACAGAGGGAGACTCCGTCTCAAAAAAAAAAAAAAAAGACTTTCCAGAAGGAGCAGCATAAACACAGGCATGACATGTTTCCATAATGGCAAGTGGCCCTAAATGACTAGAATATAAGGTAGATCCAGTAGGAAAGGACTTAGAAGGGGCTTTGGAAGGTGAGTCTGGAAATTAAAACTGGGGTAAACGTGATGGACCCTGAACATCATTATACTGCTTAAGATGCTAATCTTAATCCTGAAGGTAATGGGAAAACCTCCTAAGGTTTATGTTATTTTCTTTCTACTTAGGCTATTTAAAAAGTGGAGTGACGGCCAGGCGCAGTGACTCATGCCTGTAATCCCAGCACTTTGGGAGGCCGAGGTGGGCGGATCACCAGGAGTTCGAGACCAGCCTGACCAACATGGTGAAACCCCGCCTCTACTGAAAATACAAAAATTAGCCAGGTGTGGTGGTGGGCGCCTGTAATCCCAGCTACTTGGGAGGCTGAGGCAGAAGAATTGCTTGAACCCGGGAAGTGGAGGTTGCAGTGAGCAGAGATCGTGCCATTGTACTCCAGCCTGGGCAACAAGAGCGAAACTCAGTCACAAAAAAAAAAAAAAAAAAAAAGGAGTGACATGCTTAGATCTCTGTTTTGGAATGACAGGTTTTTTGTTTCTAGCATCAATCCAAGGTTCATGGCTTGAGAAGGTGTACTGCCAGCAATGCCATTAACCAGCAAAGGGAATGCAGGAAGAGGAACAGATCTGGTGGGCATCAGTTTGGATGCTCTGAGTTTGAGCTGCCTGTGAAAACTGCAGGTGGTGATATGCAATTAACATTCACATACGGAGTTCAAAACTAGAGACACAAATTTGAGAGTCATCACAGAAATGTGAAGTGTGTTTTCTATAACTAAAGATAACCATGCTAACATAGCCATGTGTTACATTAGCATTTTTTTTTTTTTTGAGACGGAGTCTCACTCTGTTGCCCAGGCTGAAGTGCAGTGCACAATCTTGGCTCACTGCAACCTCCACCTCCTGGGTTCAAGCGATTCTCCTGCCTTAGTCTCCTGAGTAGCTGGAATTACAGGCACCTACCAACACGCTTGGCTAATTTTTGCATTTTAGTAGAGATGGGGCTTTACCATGTTGGCCAGCTGGTCTCAAACTCCTGACCTCAAGTGATTCACCCACCTTGGCCCCCCAAAGTGCTGGGATTACAGGTGTGAGCCACTGTGCCCGGCCTTACATTTTGTGTTTTTTCCTGCTGCTTGTATGTGTGCAAGTCTGTGTATCATCAATGGGTATATGTGTACCTGCGCTGACAACAAAAAATGAGATGCATATCAGCTACTACACAAAGCTGTTATAAGGATGAAATGCAGTTAGCCAGTGCTCAGTAAAGGGCAGTTGCTTTACTACTACTAGGTGGGGTGGTGTATGTGAGAATCTGTATACTGCCATTAGTAGGCTTTAGTATGTAGTGTGCATATGGAATTCATGCATTAGTGTGTAGTATGTGTGGGACCCACTCACCTGAGCAGCTTCTCTCCCCACTTACAGTGGCATCTGTTGAGGATTCCTGTGAGGGATAAGGCAGGGAGTGAACTTGTTACAAGGCAGGGACAGGGAATGGAATGTGTTTATGTGTCTAAGCTGAGGCATCCAGGTCAGAGGTGCTGGTTGTTGAGGAAGCTGGCCTGGGAGGGCACAAAGGCAGCCAAAGCTGGTGCCTGGCCACAAATATGAGCTGGGATTACCGTACATGGAGATGGGGGAAGGGATGGACACTCACAGGGACACTTAGCCAGAAAAATACACAAAGCAGACCTAGTTAAAACTCAAGAACTGGCCAGGCACGGTGGCTCACGCCTGTAATCCCAGCACTCTGGGAGGCCGAGGCAGACGGATCACGTGGTCAGGAGATCGAGACCATCCTGGCTAACATGGTGAAACGCAGTCTCTACTAAAAATACAAAAAATTAGCCGGGCATGGTGGCAGGCACCTGTAGTCCCAGCTACTCGGGAGGCTGAAGCAGAATGGCATGAACCCGGGAGGCAGAGCTTGCAGTGAGCGGAGATCGCGCCACTGCACTCCAGCCTGGGTGACAGAGCAAGACTCCGTCTCAAAACAAAACGAAACAAATAAACAAACAAACAAAACACAAAAAACTCAAGAGCCCTCCCGCCCCTCCAAAAATACAAAAACTCAATAGCTGGCCGGGCAGGGTGGCTCATGCCTATAATCCCAGCACTTTGGGAGGCCAAGGCAGGAGGATCACTTGAGCTCAGGAGTTTGAGACCAGCCTGGGCAACATGGCGAAACACCATCTCTACTAAAAATACAAAAAAATTAGCTGGGCATGGTGGTGCAGGCCTGTAGTTCCAGCTATTCAGGAGGCTGAGGTAGGATGAGGCAGAAGAATCACTTGAACCCAAGAGGCGGAGGTTGCAGTGAGCCTAAATTGTACCACTGCACTCCAGCCTGGGTGACACAGCAAGATTCCATCTAAAAAACAAACAAACAAACAAAAAACTCAAGAGCCCAACACACATATGTAAAAAACTGGACGGCCGGGCGCGGTCGCTCATGCCTGTAATCCCAGCACCTTGGGAGGCTGAGGCGAGTGGATCCCCTGAGGTCAGGAGTTCAAGACCAGCCTGGGCAACATGGTGAAACCCCGTCTCTACTAAAAATACAAAAATTAGCTGGGCGTGGTGGCAGGTGCCTGTAATCCCAGTTACTCAGGAGGCTGAGGCAGGAGAATCGCTTGAACCCAGGAGGCAGAGGTTGCATTGAGCCGAGATCGCACCATTGCACTCCAGCCTGGGGGACAAGAGCGAGACTTCGTCTCACACACACACACACACACACACACACACACACACACACACACAAAACTGGACACAACTGGCCAGGCGCGGTGGCTCACGCCTGTAATCCCAGCACTTTGGGAGGCCGAGGTGGACGGATCACGAGGTCAGGAGATCGAGATCATCCTGGCTAACACAGTGAAACCCGTTCTCTACTAAAAATACAAAAATTAGCCAGGCATCGTGGTGGGCACCTGTAGTCCTAGCTACTCAGGAGGCTGAGGCAGCAGAATGGTGTGAACCCAGGAGGCAGAGCTTGCAGTGAGCTGATATTGCACCACTGCACTCCAGCCTGGGCGACAGAGCGAGACTCTGTCTCAAAAAAAAAAAAAAAAAAAACCTGGACACAACTTACTGAGATATGAAACTATATGGATATTTGCGGAGATGTCCCTAATATACCCTAAAGCCAGAGACAACTGATAAAGACTCTATACAAATCAAATAGGCAGTTATGCAGTTACAAAACTCTTCTCTATACACAAGGTCTCCCAAAGTCCCTAACAGGTACCCAACTAGTAGAAACATTCATACAAACCCAGGGAAGGAACACAGAATTGGTAAAGTAATGGCTGATATGCAACAACACTGTACAGCCACAAAGTATGGGAAGATGCTCAAGCTTGGGGGGCGGGGGGTACAAATAGGTAAGAAATTTGGATTGGCATGAAAGAGATATCTGACAATGGGAGTGAAGTGGGAAGGGAGGCTGGGACACATCTTTGGAGCCAATTGCTTTTCTGGTAGGTCTTTGTAATGTGAGATGAGGGATGGGGCACACCTACCAAAGAGGCTGAGCCCCTCCTTCAGTCCACTGGCCACTTTGTACACTGAGGGGTGAGACTCACTCTTAAAAATCTGTAGAACACTGTCGAGGAGAAATGGAGGAGTTTGGGGTAACTTGGACTTTTGAAGGGAATAAGAATTGAGGACTGATAAATGGAATGGGGACAGGGGATATCCTCCTGAGATCACGTCTTTTTTTTTTTTTTTTTTTTTTTGAGATGGAGTCTCGCTCTGTCGCCCAGGCTGGAGTGCAGTGGTGCAATTTCAGCTCACTGCAACCTCTGCCTCCTGGATTCAAGCAATCCTGCCTCAGCCTCCTGAGTGGCTGGGATTACAGGCGCACAACACACCCAGCTAATTTTTATATTTTTAGTAGAGACGGGGTTTTACCATATTGGTCAGGTCTCAAACTCCTGACCTCAGGCGATCCACCCGCCTTGGCCTCCCAAAGCGCGGGGATTACAGGCATGAGCCACCGCGCCCAGCCGAGATCATATCTTGATGTAAGGTTTGTCCCTTACTTTTCTTTGCCTCAGTTTCTCCCTATAGAAAAGAAAGCTAGTATCTTTATGCTTTTCTTCCTCTCTTTCCCTCAAAACCCCCCTTCCCTTTCCTTCAAGGAGAGAGATCTTAATAGCCCCAGGATTAGGGAAACTAGAGCCTCATTAGGATTATTGGGGCATTAAACTTAATCCTTCTCCCTCCCCAGAGACAGCAGCATGCCTCCACCTCTTTACCTGTAAGTGTCTTGATCTATGTTCACCAGATGAGTCCTGAGGACAGAAAACAAAAAAGCAGGAAGCAGTCTGAGTTCGTTCCACAACTCCACTTCCTTTGTCCCCCTCTCTGAATATTGTCCCAGTCTTCTTCCCAAAGTCTCATTAGCCCTTAGATTCTCCCGGGTGTCCTAGAGCACTTGACCCACTGGGTCACAGCCACATCCACACCCCACCCCCACTTTACTTTTCAGGCCTCCCAATCCCACATTACTTTGGTTGGGGTTGGGGTGAATCACCTACAACATAAATTTCTTAAAGCCCAGGATGGGGACGCTGACATTATAGTCTTCCAGTTCAACCCCGATTCTTCTTCGACCCAGGAACTTCAGCAGCCCTCCAAGTGCTCGAACCTGGGAGGGGATCAGCAGTGGAATCGGGGTAAATCTTAAATCTCCTGGGGGCTGCAGAGCACCAGGGAAAGTTACTATTTTCCAGGGCTAGGCCAGTACCTCCCAGAATTCAGCCCTAGCACTTGTGCCGCCTCCCAGCCCTTATCCCCCAGGACCAATCTCACTGTGAGGAGGCAGTCAAAGGGAATAATGGAAGAGAGGAAGAGGATTTTCTCAGTGGCAGTCATGGCGTCTGGGATGAAGGAGTAGTTTCCAGAAAGGAGGCGTTGTTTGCTTATCTCCAGACCTATTTGAGGGAGGCAAGCAAAGGGAACGGTCTTGTAGCTCAATTTTTTCACCCCATTTTAAGAATGAGACAATAGAAGCAAGAGAGATTATTTGACTTGCCCAAGCTCACACAGGCAGTTAATGGAAAGCTAGAGCAAGAACCAAATTTTCAGACTCTTAGTCTAATTCTCTTTTTATTCTACATATAATATAAAGATACTTGTCTGAAAGCACAGCCTGAGAAAGATAAATGGCTGAGGAAAGTAGACATCTGTCTGGAATTGAGGATTTTGGTCAAAATAATGGTATTAATAGAACTAGTAACACTAATGCCTTAATATCTAATTAGGATAGTACACTCCTGTTCTTATTGTAAACCTAGGAAAGTTATAGAAGTGCCTTATGGATCATAATAAGGGTCACTGAGGCAGTGCCTTTTGGTTTGGTGATAAAAGGCTTTAACTTAATGGGGAGAATTCCAACAATAAAACCCTGTCCAAAAAGTGTCACCACTCCTCAGGGGAGGCCCTCATCCCTAGACATGACTTAAGCAGAGGCTTCCCAATAAGCTGCAGGTTATTAAAGGGTAGGGAGCAGGAGAGATCTTGGGGGGACAGGTCATAGGGCATGAGGAGCACAAAGGTTTAGGATGACATAAGGCAGAGGGGAGATCTGTGATGATGAAGGTAGAGTTGGGGGAAAGAATGGGACACCGGAACAGGGAGTTAGGCAAAGCAAAAGGAAGGAGATACCAAAATCCACACTTGGCAAAAATATGATTTCAGGTCTTTTAGGCTCTCTGTGCTCCTGGGAGGCTGTGGGGGAGGAAAGAAAAGGCTATCATTCTTTACATCTCAGTCCTTCTACCTCTGTCTGACACTCCCTCTCACCCAATTCTAGCCCCCTGGAATATTCCATATATTAGTCCTTCCCCATTTTCCCTCTATCCTTTACCAAGTCCTTACCAAGCTTTCCCAGAAATCGAGTCATATTCTCATCCTGTTTGGCACTCGTAACAACAGACTGGGGATTGATCTCATCCAGAACTTGGAAGGAGAACAGAGATCAAATGAGTTAAAGGATCTTTGTCTTTGACTAAGAGAAAACCCATAGCCCTCCTCTTCCTACCCCTCTCCTTCTCAAAAACATTTCCTCCCTAGGAGTAGGGAGTGCTCTGCACAGTGGGAACACAGGTAGAAGTTGAGATTTAGAAAAGTAGTTAAGAGTGGTGGGATGGTGAGAGGGAAGTGGGATGTTCTGGATGTTGTCACTAGGCTGTAAACCCCTGGAGAACAGACATGACTGATTTGCCCAGGGCTGAATCTGAAGCACCTGAAACATTGTAAATACGTCATATATATTTGTGGCCAGGCACAGTGGCTCATGCCTATAATCCCTGCCCTTTGGGAGGCCAAGGCAGGCAGATCACTGGAGGCCAGGAGCTCAAGACAAGCCTAGCCAACGTGGTGAAACCCTGCCTCTACTAAAAATATAAAAATTAGCCAGGCGTGATGGCAGATTCTTGTAATCCCAGCTACTCGGGAGACTGAGGCAGGAGAATTGCTTGAATCCGGGAGACGGAGGTTGCAGTGAGCCAAGATGGCACCACTACACTTCCAGCCTGAGTGACGGAGCAAGACACTGTCTCAAAAAAGAACAACCAAACAAACCAAAAAACAGCCTCACAAATATTTGTTAAATAATGAAATGAATTCATAAAAACAAAAGAGGGAGCCTCTGTGAAGCAACTGTAAAATATATTGAGTCAGTGCTATAGTTTGGATGTGATTTGTCCCTGCCAAATATCGTGTTGAAATTTAATCCCCAGTGTGATAGTGTTGTGAGGTAGGGCCTAGCAGGAGGTGTGTGGGTGATGGGAGTGGATCGCTCATGAACAGATTAATGCCCTTCCTGGAGTGTGTTGGTGGGTATGAGTGAGAGGTTCTCACTCTATTAGTTCCTGAGAGAGCTGGTTGTCAAAAAGAGCCTGGCATCTCCCTCCCCCTTGCTTCTTCTCTGCCATGTGACCTCTACACACCCTGCCTTCCCTTCTTCCATGAGTTGAAGCAGTCTGAGGCTCTCACCAGTGAAGATGCCCAATTTTGAGCTTTCCAACCATCCAGAACCATAAGCCAAATAAAACTTTTTTTTTTTTTTTAACAAATTACTCAGAGTCAGGTATTTCCTTACAGCAACACAAAATATGCTAGACAGTGAGGTGAGTTAATGTAAGTAAAACATGGCTGGGCGTGGTGACTCACACCTGTAGTCCCAGCACTTTAGGAGGCCAAGGTGGGCGGATCACAAGGTCAGGAGTTTGAGACCACCCTGGCCAACATGGTGAAACACCGTCTGTGCTAAAAACACACACAAAAAACTAGCTGGGTGTGGTGGCACACGCCTGTAGTCCCAGCTACTCGGGAGGTTGAGTCAGGAGAATTGCTTGAACCCAGGAGGTGGAGGCTGCAGTGAGCCAAGATTGCGCCACTGCACTTGAGCCTGGGTAACAGAGCAAGACTCTGTCTAGAAAAAAAAAATATGTGTGTGTGTGTGTGTGTGTGTGTGTGTGTAACACATCTGCAATCCCAGAGAGCAGAGGAATTCATGGTTCCATCCCCACCTCTCTGGAGAAGCTTGAGGCTCTCGTGGTCTGGGGCATCTGGCATGAAGTGGATAGTGGAGTCACTAGTATCATAGTAGGCAATGCCCAAGTATCCTGAATTCCACAGCACACACAGATGGATCTGTCCAGCAAGGAAGAAAGGAAATCACTATTAGAATCACTCATAAGTGTAGGGTTTACCATGTCTTATATAATTTAATCATTTTCTCAAATCTCTGAGATAGGCATCATCACCCCCATTTAGTGAATGTGAAACAGCCACTCAGGAGGTAAGAGACTTGCCCAGCTCTTCCCAACCCTGTTTTTTTTTTCTTTCTTTCTTTGAGACGGAGTCTTGCTCTGTCGCCCAGGCTGAAGTGCAGTGGAGCAATCTCAGCTCATTGCAACCTCCGCCTCCCGAGTTACAGTGATTCTCCTGCCTCAGCCTTCCCAGTAGCTGGGATAACAGGCACGTGCCACCACGCTCGGCTAATTTTTATATTTTTAGTAGAGACGGGGTTTCGCCATGTTGCCCAGGCTGGTCTCCAACTCCTGAGCTCAGGTGATCCGCCCGCCTCAGTCTCCCAAAGTGCTAAGATTACAGGTGTGAGCCACCGCGCCCGGCTCCCAACCCTCTTTTATTCTAACTTCCCATCAACTCTCCATTCAAGTTTCTACTCCCCTCAGAGACCTCGGCCAGCTCCTCCTCCTCCTCGACTTCCTCCTCCTCGGCCTCCCTGGGGCCCGGCACTGGGGCCGGGCTGGGGAAGCCGGAGGAGGCCGCCCCAGGTCTCGGTCCCTGCGGTGTCCTCCTTGGGTTCGCTCCTAAGGAGGCCATGAGCTTGGAGGCTCTGCGGATGCAAAAAGTGAGGGCGGTTCGGAAGCAACGATTCACAGAGGAGGCCGGGGTAGGGTGGCGCGCAGAATGCAAAGCACTAAGTACTTCTGCTACAGGGCTGCGGGGCAGGGCTGAGGGGCGTGGAGAGCTGTGGACACAGGAGGTGAATTCTCGGGTATTTAACTAAAGTACAGATTGTGGGAAACTCCACGCGCCCCACCCTCATTCCTGTCACGCGGAGGTTACCCTTTGGAAGGAAGGGGTCTGAGGGCCCTGTGGGGCGAGTCGTGCACGTCTTATGTCTCTGCCTCTGCCAACCACGCGCCAGGACCCCAGCCTCACGCGCTTATCTTCCTCCTCCCCCAGCTGCCGCCATCGCAGCGTTTTCCCGCCTTTTCAGTAACCTGAGTCGCTACAGGTGGGAGAACGCCCCGCTGACCGACCGCCACGAGCCTGCAAAAGGAGCGCGCCGGCGCGTGAGCGAGGTGCGCGCGCACGCGCCCCGCCCTCCTAGCCGCTGTTGATTGGAGAGGCCCGGATCCAGCCTAGAGATCCGACAGGGCGAGGAGGAGAAGCGGACTGCCGTAGCTGAAGAGTCTGGACGCTGATTGGCCTATTTGCCTTCGGGGCGGGTCCAGAACGTTCAAACTTCCCGCCCTCTGCCGTTGCTTAGCAGCCGGGCCTCTAGCACTCACTGTTTCTGGGATTTGATTGGCGCAGTGGGAAGCCCGCGAGAAGGTCGGACCAGGGTCCGTAGTCCCAGTCCCTGGAAGGGGTTTGGGACCGTTGCGGGGGTTTTGAGGGGGAGGCCAAACTTAAAGAGCCAGAGGCGCTTATTTTTTTTCCTGCAACAACTCTTAAGTTAATATTTGTACCCTCTGAGTTAATATTTATACAGAGCTTAGAACAGTGCCTGGCAAACAAAGTAAGACCTAAATGAGCGGTGTTTCAAATAAATAAGCGGAAACAAGCAGGACTTCTGTCTCAGCCCTACCGTGCCTGTTTCCTGGGTACAGGGTATGACCACCCCCATAATGGCACGACAGGGCCTAATTTATTATTTAAACCCTTCAAGCAGAGGTGGAAGCATTCGAATTACATCAAATTCTGGCAGAGAGAAGTAGTTCTGATCAGAACACTCACACCCCTACTGGGACATGCCCATACCCCTTCGCACTTCTACACACCCCTGAAGACAGAGAGGTATCTATCATTCATGCATTCGGCAACTATTTAGTGCCTATTTTGGGCCAGGGGTTGGACTCAAAGCGGTGAACATAATGAAGTCACTGCTCCATAAAGCTTATTTGTGCGTCTGTGTGTGTGTGTGTGTGTGTGTGTGTGTGTGTGTGTTGCGGGGGTGGGGTTATGAGGGAGAAAGAAAAAAAAAAAAATATATATATATATAATCCCTTTAAATGCACCATCCTCCCCAGCTTTGTTCCTAGTACCCTGAGATGGGGAGATTCCTCCCCAGCCCCCCAACCCAAGAAGTTAGGAAAGATGGTGGGGGTGAGATGACCTAGCTGTGCTAACCAGTAATTGGAAAATCCCCTCCAGCAAGAAAGGTGGGGGAACAGAGTTAAGGGCTGGGTTAATGGTTACCCCTGGCAAATCTGTTGAGCAATGGAGCTATAGAAACTTGGAGGAGGTTGGTGACAGCTCTGGGGAGTGTCAGGGAGGGACCCACCTTCCAATCTGGGGTGTGAAGAGATTAGGGACTAGTTTACCAAGCCCAGGAAGGGGAGGGAGTGGAAAGAGAAGCCCAGAGAGGGAAAGAGGAGCTACTGAGATAGGAGAAATGCAGGGACAGGGAGGTGAGATGGAGGGAAACCTCTGTTGCAGGATTTGGGGGTACAGCCCTGGCTCTGCTGGATGGTTCCAGGAGAGGGCAGCGTTGCCTGTCACCTGGTAAATTAAGGCACGATACCCTGTGGGTAGTCATGCCAGCCAGCCAAAGTCAATATTGATATCAAGGCAGCTGTAGCTATAAAGCTGTAGGAGAGAAAAGAGAGGCCGGGAGAGGCTGCCAAACCTGTTTGATCTTCAAGCTGGCCCCATTTACCTAAGGCTTCTCTTGGACACAGACCAGTTGGAACAGGAGAGGACCCTGAGAAGTAGAGTTGTTTTGATCCCCTCCCCTCAATGGGAAGGGGTCCTGTGTGCAGATTTTGAGGGTCACCATGAGGGAATTCACACCCACACAGAGGCATGGAATCATACCCTTACAGGATGTTACAGTTCAAGGGAACGAACACCAAAGATAGCCTTTCTGTCGGGAGGAGAGAAAAAGGCCCTCCCACAAGCAGGAGAAAACCCACAGAAGAGGAAGCACAAGAGGAAACCACCAACTGCTGGTTTCCAGCAGCACATCACGTCACTCCACCCCACTCCTCCCCCAAGTCTCTCCCTTTCTTTAAGTTTCAAGCTCTGTTTTAGTTCTGTGTTCTTGCACTCCACCATGGTTTTCTGGAACTGTAGGTCTTTTGTTGGACAGAGGGTGATGAGGAGGATAGAGAAGGGATGGTTGGACAGGAGAGAAATTCAGGATATGGAGGCTGGAATTCTGGGTTTATTTTTTCAGCAGGTCATAAAGGTTTAATAGAAATCAAGGTTACTGGAGAGAGAGCTGCTCCTCCTATGTCCTCCCTGCTTATTTATTTAGGTGTCCCCAAGGACTCTACTCCCACTATTCTGTCTGATCTTTCTTTATCCCCATGACAGGACCAGCTAACAACACCCCTACCCCACCCCCTATACACATACTTCAGGATCGGGCCATGATAATCCCACCCCTCTGCCCCATCTCCAAGGCAACCTGTCAGTGAGACGAGGACAAAGGGCACAGGAAGGGGCCCCAATAGGAAACATAAGTGGAAGCACAAAGCTGACCAAGCTACAGGAACAGACCCCTCCCTGCAACAAAGCCCCTTGCCTCGGCTTTATGTTTCCTTCGCAAAAGACTTCGTCATCTCCCTTCCCATCCCTAACTCTACTTTCTTTTTCTTTTCTTCTTCTTCTTTTTTTTTTTTTTTTTTGAGATGGAGTTTCGCTCTTATTGCCCAGGCTGGAGTGCAATGGCACCATCTCAGCTCACTGCAACCTTCACCTCCCGGGTTCAATTGATTCTCCTGCCTCAGCCTCCCAAGTAGCTGGGATTACAGGTGCCCACCACCCCGCCTGGCAAATTTTTGTATTTTTAGTAGAGACAGGGTTTCACCATGTTGGCCAGTCTGGTCTTGACTCCCTGACCTCAGGTGATCCACCCCCCTTGGCCTCCTAAAGTGTTGGGATTACAGGCGTGAGCCACCTCACCCGGCCCCTAACTCTATTTCCTATGCCCAATCCCAAGTGTAGGCCACAAGGACTGCAAGTCCTAGTGCTGAGCTGGGCCCGGAGACAGTAGACTGCGGGGGGCACAGGACCTACTGAGACTCCAGTCTGGGCAGCTCAGGGAGTGCTGGCGTCACCCCTTCCCTAATCCCAGGCTGCATGGCTAACGGTTCCTATCTGCAGTCCCAGCCTTCCACTTCCGAGTTCTTCTCTCAGACCACAGTCCCAGCAACCCAGAATTTGGATTGGAGTCTGGAAGAAATGCAGAATGATTAAACGACCACCTTTCCATTTGAAGTCCCCATCCCTGAATCTTCACGGGTGTGCCCAAGCTGTTAGTGTCAAGTTTTTTATATGAGGGTCAGTCGGGTTGTACTCAGATTAATGAAGCAGGGAAACTGAGGCAGAAAAGAGTCCTGTGTTCAGGAGAGGTCGGAGAAACAAGGAGGTTTTCAGGACTCCTCCTTAACACCCCCATCCCCATCCTGTGGGAGATCCGAGGATTCCCCTTCCGGACTCACTCCCTACATCGTCGAGTCCCGCCCCCCTCCAGTCCCCTCCCCAGGTTCAGGGCGGGGCCGGTCGGTGAGTCAGCGGCTCTCTGATCCAGCCCGGGAGAGGACCGAGCTGGAGGAGCTGGGTGTGGGGTGCGTTGGGCTGGTGGGGAGGCCTAGTTTGGGTGCAAGTAGGTCTGATTGAGCTTGTGTTGTGCTGAAGGGACAGCCCTGGGTCTAGGGGAGAGAGTCCCTGAGTGTGAGACCCGCCTTCCCCGGTCCCAGCCCCTCCCAGTTCCCCCAGGGACGGCCACTTCCTGGTCCCCGACGCAACCATGGCTGAAGAACAACCGCAGGTCGAATTGTTCGTGAAGGTAAGAACACTTCTCTCCTCAGCCACCCAAATTCCTGGAAGCCAACTCTCACCTTTCCCCCGGTCCAGCCTTAACTCCCCAATCCCTTCCCTCCTTGACTCCCACCCCCAATCCCACGTGCACTCTTTGGTTGAGGGGTGGTTTTGAGAGGGGAAGACATTAACTTGTTAGCAAGTAATGAGAATTCTAGGATCAACCCTGAAAAGTTTGTAAAAGTGCAAGTTTCTAGCAGACTAAAGGAAGGGAAGTGGAGAAAAAGGAGAATTCCCAAAAGTGAGACTGGGGTGGGGTTAGAGGGCGAGCTGGTGAAGGGACAGTGGGGGCCCAGCAGGGTTTAGAAGGGACAGAGGGGAACCTCAGTTAGGACATGTGTCCCTACAAGATCTGAGGGTGAGTAGTGCAGTAGGAGAGGTGTGTGTGTGTGTGTGTGTGTGTGTGTGTGTGTGTGTGTGTGTGTGGATGGAGACGCTTCAGGGAAGACGGTGTGTTGAGGGAGGCCTGAGAGTGAGAGCAAGTAAATTGGGAAGCTTTGGAGGGGCGGAACAAAACAGGAGACTGGGATCGGAGTTTGAAAAGCAGAGCTGGAGAGGTGATCGGGTGGCATTGAATATCCCCAGGACTGGGGAAAGGGACAGAAGGGGAGGTGGCAAGAAGACGTGAGTTTAACGTAGCTACCACAAGGATGGGTGGGAGAGAGATCAGACGGAGGAGAAGAGCTCGGTTAGGGCATTTTGGGATTTGGGGGTTGGAGAAGTAGAAGACTTGCCCCAACTCTCTCCTCTCTCTGCGGGTGTGGGTAAGGAGAGATGGTCCTATGGCATTTGGGTAGCAAAACTGCAGGCAGCAGGCTTCTCGGTGTCACCCAGCCCCCCTCTGATTGCAGCGGCCGCTCCCCTCCCTACCGCTGCTGCATTCATTTCCCAGTCTTGGGACCTCCTGGCTGTGCCCCTCCCTCCCTTCCTTAACAGTGTCCTCTTCTCCCCGCTCCGTTTGTGTCTCTCCGTTGGCACGCACGTCTCCCCACTCTCCACTTTCCTGCCGCCTTTCTTTCCCCTTCCCCCCTTTTGTTTCTCTCATCTTTGTGTGTCTCTGCCTGTGTCTCCCTCTCCCTTCTGCTTGGGTTTCTCGGGCAGCCATTCCCTCTCCCTGGGCCCAGGGAAGTCGGAGCCTGCTTGGGTCCGCCCCCTTAGGTGTGGTCCCCACCTCACTCTCACATTCGCCTCCGGGGCTATTTTTACTCGTGGGTGAGGCTGTGCCGCAGAGATTCCGGCCCTGTGTCCTGTGAGAGGATGGTTATTGCAGTCAGAGGACTTGTGCTGGGAGACCCTGGCAGCAGGTTAGGGGTAGCCTTAGCTGCCCAGGCCTCATCCTCACTGTCCCTTCCCCCACATCCTTGACAGGAAGGAAGCCGGAGACAGAGAGATGAATCACCCTCAGCTTAGGGGGAGGTGTCCCTTGGGCCAATGAGGTCACCACTTGCTAATTAGAGGGCAGCCCCTCTCTGTAGGGCCCTCCACATCTCTAGCGCGAGGCCCAGGGCCCCTTGACTAGACTCCCCACCCAAAGACACCTTGGATTGGAGGTGTAGAGAACCAAAACTCTGGCTCCCAAACCCCACCCACCTCTCCTGTCTTCAGACTCTACTCCCTTCAGGAACCCAGAAATCCAGGCTTCTAGCCTACAACTCTGGCCTCACTGAAGTTCCACACCCTTCCCTCTCTAGGATTCAGATCCTCCCAAGTTCTCCAGGACCTCCTCCCTCTACCTACCTCCCACCTGTCCTCAGTGTCTGGGGAACCAGAAGCCTGCCTTTGCAAAACAGTTTCCCATTGATCTGCCTTAGGTTTGACCCAGGCCCAAGGGCAAAGAGCCCATAGTGAGGGGACAGTGTATGTGTCATGACTAGGCAGAAAACAGCTGGTCTGGGAGTGGGAATGCAGGGACTGGCCTAGGGATGGGTGGGGTGCATCAGGCATAACCTTGGGTTGGGGTTACTTTTCAGGCTGGCAGTGATGGGGCCAAGATTGGGAACTGCCCATTCTCCCAGAGACTGTTCATGGTACTGTGGCTCAAGGGAGTCACCTTCAATGTTACCACCGTTGACACCAAAAGGTAGGCCTGCTTATGTTCCTTGAAACACCCCTGGTGTACACATGTGTGCAAACACACACCCACCCGAGTCCTTCTGTCATGAACATTTTTGCCCTCCCCCTGGAGTCCCTTTCTTATCCCACGTCCTCCATTCCCCCTTTCTGGTTCTTCCTGACCCCCATTTCCAGTCCTGATTCCTGATCCTTTCTCCAGGCGGACCGAGACAGTGCAGAAGCTGTGCCCAGGGGGGCAGCTCCCATTCCTGCTGTATGGCACTGAAGTGCACACAGACACCAACAAGATTGAGGAATTTCTGGAGGCAGTGCTGTGCCCTCCCAGGTATAGGGGCACTCAGAAAGTGGAGAGGTGGAGCAGGGAGATTCTGGGAAACAGACAGTTTGCAGAAATGGAAAACAGAGATGGTGGTGGGGCTGGGGCAGGAGAGCTAGCTGAGGTTCCTCCCAGGAAGACATCTTACCTCATTTTTCCCATTGGCTTTCAGGTACCCCAAGCTGGCAGCTCTGAACCCTGAGTCCAACACAGCTGGGCTGGACATATTTGCCAAATTTTCTGCCTACATCAAGAATTCAAACCCAGCACTCAATGACAGTGAGTCTTGTGGGTCAGAGGCCTGGGTCCTGGGAGGAATAGAGAGGACCCAGCGGGTAGGAGACATTAGGGGCACCTGGACGTTCAGATATCAGGGAGATGAAGCAGATGTTCGTAAATTTCCCCCAGCTTCCCATTTTTGCTTTACCTCTATATTTCCCTGCATTTTCATTGGCCAAGACTTTTAAGCTTTTCTCATTTGTTCCCTAGCCTCTTCTGCCCCACTGAGGACGTTAGTTGGCTGCTGGCCTGTTTTCTGGCAGAATAGGGTCATGCTTAAGAACAGTCATCACTCTAGATCCAGACTACCTGAGTACAAATCCAACTAGCCGTATAATTTTGAGCAATCATTTCACCTCTCTGTAAGTCCATTTCCAGATCCACAAAATTAGGATGACAATACCTATTTCATGGGTTGATATAAATTTTTTTTTTTCTTTTTTTTTGAGATGGAGTCTCGTTCTGTCGCCCAGGCTGGAGTGCAGTGGTGCAATCAGCTCACTGCAACCTCTGCCTGCCGGGTTCAAGCAATTCTCCTGCCTCAGCCTCCTGAGTAGCTGGGATTACAGACGTGCATCACCACGCCCAGCTAATTTTTGTATTTTTAGTAGAGACAGGGTTTCACCATGTTGGCCAGGCTGGTCTTGAACTCCCGACCTCAGGTGATCCACCTGCCTCGGCCTCCCAAAGTGCTGGGATTACAGGAGTGAGCCACTGCACCCGGCGATATAAATGAGTTTGTAAAATGTAAAGTGTTCACTTTGGGAGGCCGAGGCTAGCGCACCACCTGAGGTTAGGAGTTGGAGACCAGCCTGGCCAACATGACTGGTCTCTACTGAAAAAAATACAAAAATTAGCCAGTTGTGGTGGCAGGCACCTGTAATCCCAGCTACTCAGGAGGCTGAGGCAGGAGAATCATTTGAATCTAGGAGGCAGAGGTTGCAGTGAGCCGGGATCATGCCACTGCACTCCAGCCTGGGCAACGGAGCAAGACTCCGTCTAACATAAAATAAAATGTAAAGTGCTTAGAATAACACATAGAAAAGTAACTACATGAGTGTTAGCTATTATTATTTTGGACTCACCATTAGTATCCACCCCCAACGGGCCTTTTCGGACTATGTCAATCTTTTCCTGAAGTTCTAATCAGTTCCCTCTCTTGCACAGATCTGGAGAAGGGACTCCTGAAAGCCCTGAAGGTTTTAGACAATTACTTAACATCCCCCCTCCCAGAAGAAGTGGATGAAACCAGTGCTGAAGATGAAGGTGTCTCTCAGAGGAAGTTTTTGGATGGCAACGAGCTCACCCTGGCTGACTGCAACCTGTTGCCAAAGTTACACATAGTACAGGTGTGTGGTTATTGCGGGAGGAGAGGATGACCACTGGAGTGGCCCTTTAAGGAGCTCCCACATGGGCTTCCCCTGACAACCACTCTAAAGACGATTTCTTTCTTAGGGTGGTTTTCATAAATTGCTACCAATGGCAGACCCCACCCCAGTCCTTTGCAGCAGTCATTGCTAACAAGACCACTGCTTGAGATAATTATATTCCATGATGTAAGTCATGGGTGCAAACAGACTAGCAAAGAGGAATACATCCCAGTATTACTTTTGAAGAATGCTCTTCCTGTCTCGGTATCACTGCCAAATTCCCAGATTAGACAGAGCAGGCTTTTCCTAAAGTCAAAGCTTTAACTTTCTTTATAACTTCAGTCTTCACTTCCTCTTGTGGAAGATCAAAACTGCTGGTTCCCATGTTTTTGTCATAGTCTCAAAGCTATGGTTTAGTTTGTGCAACATGGGCCTGACATCAGTCTGCCACACAACTATGTAGTGAACATCTGTGTACTAAGCATTGAAAGATACACAAGTGTATGGTGACTGGGCCTTGCTCTCAAAGGGTTGAAATCTGAGACAATAAAATATTCACATGAAAGTTAAGAATATATGATGAAAAGTCAGATGGGCCGGGCGTGGTGGCTCACGCCTATAATCCCAACACTTTGGGCGGCCAAGGCTGGTGGACCACCTGAGGTTAGGAGTTCGAGACCAGCCTGGCCAACATGGTGAAACCCCATCTCTACTAAAATTACAAAAATTAGCCGCACATGGTGGTGGGCACCTGTAATCACAGCTATTTGGGAGGCTGAGGCAGGAGAATCACTTGAACCCGGGAGGCGGAGGTTGCAGTGAGCCAAGATCGCGCCATTGCACTCCAGCCTGGGTGACAGCAAGACTCCATCTCAAAAAAAAAAAAGTCTGATGAAAAATATAGAGACAAAAGTCACCTGTGTCAGTGCCTGAAGTGGTATAGGGGGAAAAAGTCACTGTGGAAATTCAAGAGGAGAATTTTATAAGTAAATTATATCTCAAGTTTTAAAAACTCAGGAAAAATGGCTGGTTATTAAAAGCCAGGATTTCAGTAAGTGAGAAGGAAGGCTAACGACAGTACAAGACAGTGAGGAGTTGAGCTGGTTTTATCATGTCGGCCTGGGGAGAAGGGAAAGCCAAGGTGGCTTCCCTGGGTCTAACATGTTGGTCCCTCTCCTCTCCCCATCCTCAGGTGGTGTGTAAGAAGTACCGGGGATTCACCATCCCCGAGGCCTTCCGGGGAGTGCATCGGTACTTGAGCAATGCCTACGCCCGGGAAGAATTCGCTTCCACCTGTCCAGATGATGAGGAGATCGAGCTCGCCTATGAGCAAGTGGCAAAGGCCCTCAAATAAGCCCCTCCTGGGACTCCCTCAACCCCCTCCATTTTCTCCACAAAGGCCCTGGTGGTTTCCACATTGCTACCCAATGGACACACTCCAAAATGGCCAGTGGGCAGGGAATCCTGGAGCACTTGTTCCGGGATGGTGTGGTGGAAGAGGGGATGAGGGAAAGAAATGGGGGGCCTGGGTCAGATTTTTATTGTGGGGTGGGATGAGTAGGACAACATATTTCAGTAATAAAATACAGAATAAAAATCAAGTGTTTTTACGCAATGGGGGTTTAAAGTGTGGGCGACATGGAATGAGGGGTGGGTCAGTGATCTTGAGCTCAGGGCAGAAGCCAGGAATTAAGAAGGGAAATGTTTGTGGTGGGGCTGCTATGTTTCGTGCCGGTCCGCCGGTCCGCCGTTGCGCTGTTCTGAGGTCTACGAAGCGTTTGCAGCCCCGTCGCCAGGGCCGGCCAGATCTGGGTGGGCCTGGGCAGCGCTCGCTGGGCGGTGCCGATTTCTGGCAAGGGGGGCGCAGTCTGGATGTAATGGGCGAGGCTTAGCAGGGCGGAATGGGCGTGGCCCGAAGAAGCCCCGCCCCGTCCCGCTTAGACAATGCCCCGGAGCCGCCAGACCGTCGCGCCCCTGCCCCATCGTAGTATATGAGCTCGCCTACACAAGGACCCCCGCTAAAAGCCAGAGCTCCCAGTCCCCGAGGCTTGAAGACGGGGACTCCCTTCTCCACCAACTCTGTCCTCGGGGGGTGGGGCCCCAGCCGAGATCACAGCGCGACAGGAGTGGGGGTGGCCGCTGGAGGTGAGTCTTGCGTGGGGGGCCCTGAACCGTGTGGGGGCCGGAGTTTGGGGGTGCCGGGCCCATGCCTGCACCAGACAGAGAGTATGGGGAGCCGGTATTTGGGCGCGGAGCTAGGCGGGGTGGACTTTGGGACATAGACGGGGAACCGGGTCCTGGAGCCGGGAGTAGTGCCAGCGCCCCGGAACCACGCCCCCTGTTACCCCGCCCCTCGCATTTCGTTTTAGACCTCTCCCAGTCCTTCGGGACTCGGTCTGGTTTATACTAGGTCGCGCTAGGGGCAGCGTGACCAGCCAGGGCGGAGAGAGGATGCTTAACTCCTTAGGCTCGAACTCCTCCCTTCCTACCCACCTCTCTCCCTTCTCGTTCGGGTATTCAGGACTTCCATTCCCCAGCCCCTGCCTCTCCAGCTTTCTCCTTCTGTCCCATAACCCCTGCGGGTCGCGGGCTGGACTTCCAGTCCCTGCGGTAGCGAGCAGCTGAGGGTTAAGGGGGCGGGGCTGCTGCATTTTTGGGGAGTGAGCGCATCCTAGTGGCTGCCAAGAGGGGCGCCCGACAGGGACCTCACAAGCCCCCAAGCAGGGGCAACAGGTGTTTTGGAGATTAGAGACCCTAGCCTTGTTCCTCAGGCTCCTCTTAAAGAATCTGACCCCTGAGGGTGCTGGGTAGAGTGAGGTCGACAGGAGCGGAAGGTCTGGAGTGGGTGGGGCGGAGTGGGAGGGACGCCTAGAGATGGCAGGAGGAAGACCTGGGCGCTCTTAACCACCCCCAACGCCCTTGTCTGCATGTCTTTTTCTCTGTCTCCTCCTTTTCTGTTTCTTCTCCCAGACAGGTGAAGAAACAAGAAAACTAAGAAATCCGAGCGGTTGGAGGGGGAGTCTGTGTGGATGGGATGGGGACGCCGGGGGAGGGGCTGGGCCGCTGCTCCCATGCCCTGATCCGGGGAGTCCCAGAGAGCCTGGCGTCGGGGGAAGGTGCGGGGGCTGGCCTTCCCGCTCTGGATCTGGCCAAAGCTCAAAGGGAGCACGGGGTGCTGGGAGGTAAACTGAGGCAACGACTGGGGCTACAGCTGCTAGAACTGCCACCTGAGGAGTCATTGCCGCTGGGACCGCTGCTTGGCGACACGGCCGTGATCCAAGGGGACACGGCCCTAATCACGCGGCCCTGGAGCCCCGCTCGTAGGCCAGAGGTGAGCGCCGTGGCGCGGGTGTGGTATGGGGAAAGGCAGAAGGAACTGGATGTCGGGGCTTTGGGGAAGAATTGAGGATGGGGGTGTCACAGCTCCGTGCCCTCTTCTCCTATCCTAAGGTCGATGGAGTCCGCAAAGCCCTGCAAGACCTGGGGCTCCGAATTGTGGAAATAGGAGACGAGAACGCGACGCTGGATGGCACTGACGTTCTCTTCACCGGTGAGGCTGGGGGGAGGCATAGGTCTTGGCACAGGGAAGTAGAGTTTGGGAGACTCGGCCGTCTGGAGCCTTGTTTCTAACTCACTCCCGCCCTCAAACCTCCGCGGCCTCCCGGACTCAGGCCGGGAGTTTTTCGTAGGCCTCTCCAAATGGACCAATCACCGAGGAGCTGAGATCGTGGCGGACACGTTCCGGGTGCGGAGCGGGACCAGCCTAGGGAGGGAGGGGGTGCAGGTGGGGGTCGGAAGGGCCTGGGCGCCCGCTGAGGAAATGAGAGGCAGAGAGCAGCCTATGTTTGAAGATACCCCATCACCCCTCCCGCGCCCCTGAATACCTCCCTTCGCTCTCCCTAGGACTTCGCCGTCTCCACTGTGCCAGTCTCGGGTCCCTCCCACCTGCGCGGTCTCTGCGGCATGGGGGGACCTCGCACTGTTGTGGCAGGCAGCAGCGACGCTGCCCAAAAGGCTGTCCGGGTGAGGAGGGGGCGGGGCCAACGAAAGTGGGCGCAGTTCTGGGCCCGGGAGGCCGGGAGCTGGGAGGCTTAGGAAATTAGCCCTAACCCCTGCCCTCAATGGGCTGTCCATCTTACATGAAAGAACACAGGAGAAAATAAGAAGTTACAACAGCAGGACTGGGAACAGGGGTGATTAATTTGCTCTTCCGGAGTTTCAGGAAACCCCAAAGGTGGCACCTAAACTGTGACTCTAAGGATGGGTAGGACAGATAGGAGGGGCTGGGGAAGGTAGGGGGTTGAAAATAACTGCATGTGATTCCAAGGTGGAAATTAGCAAAGGTAACTAAAGTACTTAGTGTCTGACATATCGTAAGCTCTGTGTGCTTGCTGTCATTATTTTCCACAAATGTCAGTCCGTCCCCAGCCCTTAGTGGTGGTTGAGCAGGCAGACACAGCTGTGGAGAGGTTCTGAGACTCGAACACTTCCTCTTTCCTCTAGGCAATGGCAGTGCTGACAGATCACCCATATGCCTCCCTGACCCTCCCAGATGACGCAGCTGCTGACTGTCTCTTTCTTCGTCCTGGGTTGCCTGGTGTGCCCCCTTTCCTCCTGCACCGTGGAGGTGGGGATCTGCCCAACAGCCAGGAGGTGAGAGAGGGCAGGAACTCCAACACCAAGCACCATCAGAGAAAAGAGTTTCAGGCTTTCCTAGTGGGAGGAAGGAAGGGTACCTTCTCTAGAAGCCTGGGTGGGGCCACTCTGAGCTGGCTGGAAGAGTGGCCTGGCTCAGCCTGAGGTCTCACTCCCCTCTCCCCACTCCATGTCTTCCCTGTGCAGGCACTGCAGAAGCTCTCTGATGTCACCCTGGTACCTGTGTCCTGCTCAGAACTGGAGAAGGCTGGCGCCGGGCTCAGCTCCCTCTGCTTGGTGCTCAGCACACGCCCCCACAGCTGAGGGCCTGGCCTTGGGGTACTGCTGGCCAGGGGTAGGATAGTATAGGAAGTAGAAGGGGAAGGAGGGTTAGATAGAGAATGCTGAATAGGCAGTAGTTGGGAGAGAGCCTCAATATTGGGGGAGGGGAGAGTGTAGGGAAAAGGATCCACTGGGTGAATCCTCCCTCTCAGAACCAATAAAATAGAATTGACCTTTTAGACTGGGCTGTGACTGGTGTCTTACTGGGGCAAAGGGATAGGGCAGGGCTGAAACCTGAGTTTGGGGTCAGTGCAGGGAAGAAGGCCTCTTATTCAAAAATCTTGTTAGGTACTTATCAACTCATTGCCCAACCATGTCATAGGTACTTGAGCACAAGATGAACAAGACAGAATTTCTATCATGGGAAGTGTGTCCAGGGCAGAGAAAAGAGTGTATGGGTGGATTGCTCACTGAATTTATCTAAATGTTAGATGATTCAGAGACTGGTAGATTACCAGTCCACCCCTATTTGATAAAGAAAAAGAAATGACACTTCCAGGGACATTCATTTTCATTCATTCATTTAATGAGGCTTAGCAATGATATCAAAAGGGTCAGTCTCCTGACGTTGGGGAGCTCACAGTACATGCAAATTTCTTACAAATTGAAATACAGGTTGTCATGGAACAATTTACAGAAGGCTGTTTCTATGAGGGAAATAAAGGGGGTGTGCCCTAGGGCATCAAAGTATATGCAAGGGGTGGCCAAGGAGGGTCACCTTCCCAGAAAAGGCCATACTTGAACTAAGGATAAATAAGAATTAGCCAGGCAGATAGTGTGAAGGAGGGAAAGGGGTAATACAGGAAGAAGGAATTGCACTGGGCAAAGACATTTTGGGGCTAGGGAGAATTCTCTAAGGCTGGCATTTTCTAAGATGTGCATGTGGAATGACACAGGTAAGCCTGGAGAGTGGACAAAGTGCTGTAGTACCTTGTATCCAAAGCCAAGGCACGTGGGCACAGAGCTGAAGCTAAGGAGAGTACTTCAGTTCTGTAATAAGGGCTGTCAGGAGCAGTTATCTCTTGAGTAGGATCTCTCTGACTTCAGGGAGGAAAGCAAGGGTAGGAGGATGAGGTGGGGCTATGGGTAATCCAGGAAGGAAGTGAGCAGAGTACATTCACGTGGCAGCGCTGGGCATGGAATACAGTGTGGGTTTGACAGTGATGTTAAGATAGAAAGACTGGACTTCATGGCTCATTGTGTGGGAGTAAGAGAGAAAGGAGGTCTGCGTGACTCCCAGTTTCTGGGTTGGGCAACTGGGTTGTTAAAGAGAATACAGAGGAGAATTAAGTGAGCAGCTTCAGAGATGACAATGAGTTGGGTTTGACATTCAGAGTGCGAAATGCCTGAGGTCAGTCAGGCAGAATGTCTAAGTGGAAGTTTGTTAATCCCAAATCTGAGATCTGAGCCAGAGAGAGTTCTGAGTGTCATTTGCAGAGGAGGGGGCTGAGGACTGACTGTTGATGAGAGTGTCCCAGAAGAAGAGAAAGGGACAAACCTAGAATGGTGGGAAATACTGTAGGGATATGGAGCAAGGAAGAGGAGTCCAAAAAGAAAACACCAGCAACAAAGAAAAACAGCTTAAAGAATCAGGCCGGGCGCGGTGGCTCACACCTGTAATCCTAGCACTTTGGGAGGCCGGGGCGGGTGGATCACGAGGTTAGCAGATCAAGACCATCCTGGCTAACACAGTGAAACCCCGTCTCTACTAAAAATACAAAAAATTAGCTGGGCGTGGTGGCGGGCGCCTGTAGTCCCAGCTACTCAGGAGCCTGAGGCAGGAGAATGGTGTGAACCCGGCAGGCGGAGCTTGCAGTGAGGGAGATGGTGTCACTGCACTCCAGCCTGGGCAACAGAGCGAGACTCCGTCTCAAAAAAAAAAAAAAAAGGAGCTAGGGCTTGATTGGGTATAGAGAGGACACTGGTGGTGAGGGAGACATGGAGGTTATAGGAGAGATGGGAGTAAGTTTAGAAGTAAGACCAGTGGCAGAGACAGCCTGGAACCCAGGTCTCCCAACTCCCAGTCTAGCACTTATTTCTATACCATGGTGCCTTCCTCTTCCAGGTGAGGAACCAAGGAGGGGAGAGGGATTATGGGGAGCTGGGATCCCCTAGCTTGGGAGGTTTGGAGTAAGGGCTTCCCTTCAAACTACAACTGCATAGATGGTGGAGGCATCAGCAGGGTCCGCTGTGGACAGCCGGCGGGGCCTGCTGAGGGCTAGATGGTCCAGATCCGCATAGAGCAGGCTCTGGAGGAGGAAGGGGAGGAAGACAAGATGGTCTCCACAGTCTTCCTTGGGGTTCAGGCCTTTTTTTTTTTTGGTCCATTTTCCTCAGAGATTCTGGCTATCCCCTTCCCATCCCCATGCCCTTACCGGTTCCTGGTCCAGGTCCCCTGGAATCTTGGGCTCTTCCTCCTTTACTGGCCTCTGGGGCTCGGTTTTCACAAGTGGAGCTATGTGGGGGGGACAGAGCTGAAGGATGGAGAGAAGGTGACCAACGTGTCTGCTCCCAGCAAGGGCTCAGACTCAGGAATTGAGGGGTGGGGAGTGGGCATGTAGGAGAAAGAAAATGGGGTGGAATTAGTCTCACCAAATCTAGGGAGTGGTCCAATCGGTTGCGGGGGCAGGCGCCTGTAAGGGACATATGAGTCTTTGAGAACCACCAGTCTTGTCTCACTGGTTCTCCTGGGACTCGCCACGCCAAGGACAGCCCAGCAACTTGAAGGCTCAGACCGGAAACAACTTAGACTCTACCCCACCGACAGTCCAGCCCAGGCTCTAACTCTGCTGCACTTCCAGCTCATCTGCTCTGGTGGGGCTCTACTCACCAGTCAGCGGCCTCGCTCCCACCTTTGACCTCTCCCATTCTTCGCCAAGCCAGGACCAGAGCTCTAGGTCTAGCTCTTTCTTTTGCGAAGGTTCTGGTCCTGCCCCTTCCACCTCTGGTCACTCCCCATTTAACGAGGCCGGGTCCCTCCTGCTCACCTGTGCAGCCACCAGACCAGGCCCAAAGCTCCCAGTCCGAGCACCAACCCAGCGCCCAGCAGCGGGATCAGGAGCTGGGGATACACGGACCCTGGGGGAAAGGCGTGGCGGGGAGGGATGCTGAGGTCAGGGGTTTGACGAGGGACAGCCAGCAGTCCCGCTCAAGAACCCCCAGCCAAGGCCCTCTTCCCTCCTCCGGGTATGTGTCGGAGTTAAGTACCCTTGTGCGCACAGGCCTGCACCTACCATGGGTAGGCCCGGGGGCCTTGCAATAGGTCCTGTCCCCCAGCACGTGAAGCACTGTACGGCTCTCGTCCTCGTGGCGGCCCTTGCAGAAAAAAGTGCCCGAGTCCCCCGCGCTCAAGAGGAGCTCCAGCCGCCGGATACCAGAGTCCAGGGAGCGTAGGCGGCCGACGAAAGGCTGGAGGGGAGGCACGGTGGGGGTCCCGCTCGAAGAGGCCCACAGGATCGGTCGGCGTCCTTTGGACAGGCCCTTGCAGGCCGGGAAGCTGGGTGCCCAGACCCAGCGGATGGGATGAGAGACTCCTCCGCAGGAGAGATTCACCCGGTCCCCAGGGCGGCCGTCCAGAGAAGCTAGGAGAGGCCGGAGGCTGTGGTTAGGGCACGTCCACAGGGCAAGACGACCCTCCATCCCGTCTCCTCTTTCTCTTCTCTGTTCTGCACTCCAGCCATCCTGGATCTTCCCACACACAACCCACCCTACTAGGCGGCCCTTATCTTGCTTCAGCCCCTCTGCGTCTATCACAACTCTCCCAGGGATCGCTTACCCCCAGGGTTCCCTTGGGCCCTCGAGAGCAGCAGCGGTAGCAGCTGCAGAAACACAGCCATGGTTAGGATGTGGTGAGGAGAAGCTGCGAGCGAATCAGCGGCGTGGGGCCGGTTGGGGGGGGACCGGAGGGAAGTTAGGCGTGGGGAGAACGGAGGGGCTGGGGGGCTCCGATAAGAGAGGGGGCGGGGCCACCAGCTGCCCAGATCCCTTTGGGAATCCTCGCAGGCAAACTCGGAGTCTTCAAATGGTTCTCACTTAAAATGTGTGCTCGGGCCATTTACACAAATGCTTTGGCCTGCTTAACTTTTCAGGTGCGCCTGTAATCCCAGCTACTTAGGAGGCTGAGGAGGGAGGATCGCTTGAGCTCAGGAGGTCGAGGTTGCAGTGAACTGTGATCAGGCCATTGCACTCCAGCCTGGGCGACAGAGCCAGCCAGACCCTGTCTCAAAAACAACAACAACAAAAACTCCTGTTTTGTAGGGGATTGTGATAACGAAATAAAGTAATACATGTAAACTGCTTAGAATACATAGGATCACTATGTAAGTGCTTGCCATTATTATTACTATTTCTATTCTTTTTTTTTTTTTTTTTTTTGAGTCAGAGTCTTGCTCTGTGGCCAGGCTGGAGTGCAATCTCGACTCACTGCAGCCTCCGGCTCCTGGATTCAAGTGAGTCTCCTGTCTCAGCCTCCTGAGTAGCTGGAACTACAGGTGCATGCCACCACACCTGACTAATTTTTGTATTTTCAGTAGAGATGGGGTTTCACCATGTTGGCCAGGATGGTCTCGATCTCTTGACCTTGTGATCCACCCACCTCGGCCTCCCAAAGTGCTGAGATTACAGGTGTGAGCCACCACACCCGGCCTACTATTTCTATTCTTATTTTAGCTTCTACCTCACCTCTCTGTGCCCATGCTGTTCCTCCTGGCTTGGTACCCTGCCCAAGTTGGCAGGTTTTGACTGGGGAGGTGCTTTGGAGCAGGTGCACACAGCCACACCTAGGACAATTGCTGCTGCTGGACTGGAGCAACAAGGCCACACCAAGCGCAAGTGGAGCACGGGTGACATCCTGAGAACCTTCATGGGAGCCTGAGGCAGCCCTACTTAGCAGACCTGTGGTGGCTCTCCTGGATGAGTAGCCCCAGCCCCTGCCTCTGCTGCTGTGGCATCACAGAAGCCATCAGTGAGTCACTTATTGCTGAGCAGGCATTGGAAAGACCGAGTGGGGGCTGAATGGAGATTAATTTGACCCATTCCTCCCCCAATTTCCACCAGCATGCCCCTATCAATGCCCAGCAGGGACCCAGGGACCCAAATTCAGCAATTAATTTGGGCCACATCCTTTTGTCCATTTTCCAGGAACCAGCAGAAGCTGCCACCATGGACACTGTAAATCACAGAGGCCTTTGATGATGCTCATTCAGAGGACTGAGCAGCAGGACTCTTAGCTGGGGACCAGGAAGGGCATCTTGGCCTGAAACCAAGAACCACAATGGCATTGGCCACTAGTGGCACCTGCCTTCCCCCATCCCTCTCTCCCATCCCTACTCCCCACTCAGTCCTGCTCAGTGCCTTCCCACCCCTTGTCTTTTCTCTGGTCAGCTGCGTAGTAAGTGAGAAGGGAGGGGCTACCAGAGGCAGGGAAGGGAGGAGCCTTTGGGTTTATAAATTCCAAAAAGGCCACTCAACTCCTAGAGCTGGATCCTTGAAAATCTACTCTATCAGCTGCTGTGGTTGCCACCATTCTCAGGACCCTCGCCATGAAAGCCCTTATGCTGCTCACCCTGTCTGTTCTGCTCTGCTGGGTCTCAGGTGAGCACCTGGGGGCCCCAAAGACCTGGTTTGCCTGGTCAGGACCTTTACACCCTGCTCTACCCACTTCCCGGCCCTACCCACCACTCGGGATCCCAACACCCCCAGCCCCAACTGGCTCAGCTCTCCTGTGCCACCAAGACCAGGCTTCCCTATGACAGCCTCCTTGCTCTATTTCTCAAAAAGCCAGGTCTCCATCCATCCTCCCCACCTCCAAGAAAGACCCATTTCTCTCACCTGCCAGGGCTCTGGGTCCCCTGTTCCCCACTCCAAGGTGTCTCCTCCTTGGAAACTCTGGTATCCAGTTCCCCAACCAGCCCCACTTCAATATGCAACTCTCCAGAGTCTAGCTTACCTGCCTTCTCCTCTATCTGCTGTGCTCAGTAAGGTGTCCTCTCGAAGACCTAGGCATCCAGCCCCAGGCTCCTTTTGTAACCTACCCTCCCCATCTACTCCATCAGGGACTCACATGTTCAGTCTCTCAGCCATGGCCTTTCCTAGATACCCCCTACTCCCCTCCTGGGTTGCATACCTCCTCCCATACAGGGGATACAAACTTTCTAGATGGTTGCAGTGACATCTAAGAGCCTCCATGGAAACAGAGCGTTTTCTTGAGCCTTCTGAAGAGGGGACAACTGGGCCACTTACCTCCAGGGTGAAGTGGATTTCACTGAGGTACACTTACCAGGCTCTTCCACCCTCGGACCCTGCGTCACCAAATCTTGCCTGCCCAAACCTTGAATTAACTGAAGCAGGAAACTTGGGGTGCCACCTTCTGTATCCACCCTCTCCATTTTGATAAGGTGCTAAGATGGAATCTGGTGATCTGTCTCTCAGGTATCATTCCTTTCTGCTGAAGAGCTACTGGGGTGAGAGGATTCTATTCTGGTCTGGTTCCTCTTGCCACACTCTTGCCAGCTCCAGGAGGTGAAGAGTAAATTGTAAATTGCTAAAGCTGGCCACAGATGGCTTTCTCGCCAGCCTCAAGTTCCAAGGCATTTCTGACAGTGTTGTAACCCTCATGATTTTCATTTTTATTATTTCTCCTTCTTTCAAGTTTCCATCTCCTCCTTCACCATCCACATTCTTTCCCCATGGTATCTTCCTCACATTCCATCTATCTCCAGCCCCATGTTTTTCTTCATAGTTCTGTCCCTCTTGACTCACCTCCAAACGGGGTGGAGTGATGGAAGATATGTAGGGCGTGGGCCTTTCACAAAGCAACAGCTCTACCCTTACCTGCCGCCCACTTTCCATTTTCCCTGCATCACTCACCTGCTCTGTGCTTGCTAGACCAAACAGCCAAACAGGTTGGAGCACCTACGGGATGGGCTCTTCTCCACCCTCCACCCCTGCCCCCAGCTCAGCTTATCCCCAGGTAAGTCAGAGACCCCATCACCTCAGCCTGACTTGTGTCTTCCCAGCTGACATTCGCTGTCACTCCTGCTACAAGGTCCCTGTGCTGGGCTGTGTGGACCGGCAGTCCTGCCGCCTGGAGCCAGGACAGCAATGCCTGACAACACATGCATACCTTGGTAACATCCCCTTCCTTAGTGGGGTGAACAGGGAGGTGGGAGCCTCTATGACCAGGACTGAGGCCCAAATGGGTCTAAGACTGAGATGGAGAAGCAGAGGATTATAGCAATGATAATATTTGGCCAAAGATGGTTGTGTGCCAGGCAACATCCTATGTCTTTGCATGCCTTTTTTTCAATTAATGTTCATGACAACCCTGTGATGTGGGTGCTATTATTATACTGAGAAAACGGCCTCAAAAAGAGACAGTAACACAGCCGGGCATGGTGGCTCATGCCTGTAATCCCAGCACTTTGGGAGGCCAAGGTGGTTGGATCACTTGAGGTCAGGAGTTCAAGACCAGCCTGGCCAACATGGTGAAACCCCATTTCTACTAAATATACAAAAATTAGCCAGGCATGGTAGTGGGCGCCTGTAATCCCAGCTACTCGGGAGGCTGAGGCAGGAGAATCGCTTGAACCTGGGAGGCGGAGGTTGCAGTGAGCTGAGATGGCACCACTGCACTCCAGCCTGGGCGAGAGTGAGACTCTGTCTTGGAAAAAACAAAAAAACAAAAAACAGAGACAGTAACAGGTCCATGGCCAGCAAGTGATAGAACCAGGACTGGGGGAGTGGTGGGTAAGGATGTGCAGAAGGAAGATCAGACTAAGAAAAGAGAAGGGGAGGGCCAGGGACAGAGTTGGGAAGGAAGGAAGCCTAGGTGGGTGGATGGGGTGGGGAGGTGGACACAGGCATGCCAGGTGCCCATCCTGGCCGATTCCCTGCCCATTCCCACCCCTAGGTAAGATGTGGGTTTTCTCCAATCTGCGCTGTGGCACACCAGAAGAGCCCTGTCAGGAGGCCTTCAACCAAACCAACCGCAAGCTGGGTCTGACATATAACACCACCTGCTGCAACAAGGACAACTGCAACAGCGCAGGACCCCGGCCCACTCCAGCCCTGGGCCTTGTCTTCCTTACCTCCTTGGCTGGCCTTGGCCTCTGGCTGCTGCACTGAGACTCATTCCATTGGCTGCCCCTCCTCCCACCTGCCTTGGCCTGAGCCTCTCTCCCTGTGTCTCTGTATCCCCTGGCTTTACAGAATCGTCTCTCCCTAGCTCCCATTTCTTTAATTAAACACTGTTCCGAGTGGTCTCCTCATCCATCCTTCCCACCTCACACCCTTCACTCTCCTTTTTCTGGGTCCCTTCCCACTTCCTTCCAGGACCTCCATTGGCTCCTAGAAGGGCTCCCCACTTTGCTTCCTATACTCTGCTGTCCCCTACTTGAGGAGGGATTGGGATCTGGGCCTGAAATGGGGCTTCTGTGTTGTCCCCAGTGAAGGCTCCCACAAGGACCTGATGACCTCACTGTACAGAGCTGACTCCCCAAACCCAGGCTCCCATATGTACCCCATCCCCCATACTCACCTCTTTCCATTTTGAGTAATAAATGTCTGAGTCTGATAAAATGTACATTTATTATAAGAAGACCTAAGGGTCAGGTCACCTCCCAGGAAATAATACTCTCAATCTCCCTCCCTTACACAGGAATCCTTCAGGGAGGTTCCCTGGGAGGCTGGGCTGGGGAAAATGGAGAAACAGGTTTTTCAGGTCTTCATCCTCCCTTCCAGTGTCTCCAGGTGGCACACAACAACTCATATCCTAAATTTAGGCCACACCCCTGATGTATTGCCAAGAAGAAGGTGCGGCCTGGCTTGAGGGCTCTCCAGAAAGGATAGGAGAGGTACATGGAGATGGGGCCTGAGACCCTGTTTCTTCAGTTTCTCTCAGGTTAGAGTCAAAGGCCTCACCTAGCCTAGTTAGTAAGTAGGGCATCAAGCAGTTTTTACCTATCACAGTTTTTACATTTCTTTTCTCAATTCAAAATAGTCCTATTGGGAGCCAACTTGCAAATGGGAAATAGGGGAGCAAACCCAGACTCAGGCTCACAAAACCCTGGCAACCCCACTCAATGAATCTCATTGCTAAGGAAGATTCAACCCAGCAACAGGATCCAGGAGCCACAGAAGGCAGATAAGCCATTGCCCTTTGGGGTTTAGTTGGTTAAGGAGTGCACCACTGTAATTAAGCCCGCTGTTGCTTGGTAACCCCCAAACTAGAACCTGGATGCCCCATATTACGCTTTTAGCCCTCCCATCAACCAAAGATAGATGTAATTTTCCAGTCAGCTGTAGAGTGGTTCATAGATTTTAATGACTCACAGAAGGATGTTTGTCTTCTCACATTAGATGTTCAGATGTCCCTTGTTCCCTTGCTCCCTTGTTCCCTTCTCTACTCCTACTCCCCCTATCCGCTCCACAGTCCTGGCAAGAGACAGGTCAGGGCGGTAGCTGCTGCAGCCAAAATGCCTGCAGGGGCCACATGGCTTGCCACGGCGCTGTTGCACAGGTCTCCCAGGTAGCAGTCCCTGTGGGCTGGATAAGTCACGTCTCCCACCGACTCTGTCTCCACTTGATTGCAATGATGGGCTGCGACGCAGGCTGGATGTTGGTGAATCAAGGTCACTGGGGCTGAGAGAGAGAATGAAACTGGGGTGTTGGACTCCTGGCTTCAGGACTTGCCTTCTGGGGCAGAGCAGATGTGATTTCAAGGAGCCCAAAGGGATTTTCAGCCCCCTCAAAAAACACCTCCCTGAAACCAAGTGATCAAAGTTAATGCATTGACCTTGTAAACTCCTGATGTGATGCAGCAAGAAGGATGCAACATCACTTCTGCAGTATTCTTGCTTAAAATGCATGACCTCAATCTCATCATGGCAAATATCAGATAAATAAATATCGAGGGACATTCTATAAAATAATTTTTAGTATTTCAAGTATCTGTAATTTTTTTTTTTTTTTTGAGACGGAGTTTCACTCTTATTGCCCAGCTGGAGTGCAATGGTGTGATCTCGGCTCACCGCGACCTCCACCTCTTGGGTTCAAGCAATTCTCCTGCCTCAGGTTCCCGAGTAGCTGGTATTACAGGCGGGCACCACTACACCCGGCTAATTTTGTATTTTTAGTAGAGACGAGATTTCTCCACATTGATCAGGCTGGTCTTGAACTCCCGACCTCAGGTTATCCACCCGCCTTGGCCTCCCAAAGTGCTGGGATTACAGGCGTGAGCCACTGCATCCGGCACGTAATTTTTGTTTAATCTAAAAATGATTTTATTTAATTTTAGAGAAAAGATCTTGCTCTCTCACTCAGGCTGGAGTGTGGTGGTGCAATCATACCTCCCTATAGCCTCAAACTCCTGGGCTCAAGTAATCCTCCTGCCTCAGCCTCTCAGGAAACTGAGATTACAGGTGTGTGCCACTATGCCTGGCTAATTTTTTAAAAACATTTTTTGTAGAGATGGGGGTCTCACTTTGCTGCCCAGGCTGGTGTCAAACTCCTGACCTCAGGTGACTCTTCAGCCTTGGCCTCCCAAAGTGCTGGGATTACAAGTGTGTGCCACCAAGCCTAGCCTAAAAATTATTATTATTATTATTTTTGAGACAGGGTCTCATTTTGTTCCCCAGGCTGGAGTGTAGTGGCGTGATCATGGCTCATTGTAGCTTCAATCTCCCAGGCTCAAGCGATCCTCCCTCTTCAGCCCCCTGAGTAGCTAGGACTACAAGCATGTGCCACCACACCCAACTAATTTTTTAATCTGTTTGTTTGTTTGTTTGTTTGTTTTTTGTAGAGACAGGGTCTCCCTATGTTGCCCAGGCTGGTCTCAACTCTTGGGCTCAAGTGGTCCTCCCACCTTGGCCTCCTAAAGTGCTGGGATTACAGGTGCGAGTGACTGCACTGGCCCTAAAAGTAATTTTTTAAACTCCAGGTATAAAATAATTTATCAGGGCTCTTCAAATGTGTCAGGGTCATGAAAGACAAAGAAAAACAGAACTGGCACAGATCAGAGGAGACTAAGAAGACATGAGAGCTAAATGCAATGTAGGATCTTGCTAAATCAAATAAAGTCTGTAGATTAGTTAGTAGTATTGTATCAGTTATTTTGTGATTTTGATAATTGTGCTATGGTTATGTAAGATGTTAGCATTAGGAGAAGTTGAGTATTTCTGCAACTTTTCTGTCAATCCAAAATTATGTTAAAATAAAATATTAAAAACATGTACACACACACACACACACACACACACACACACACACCCCTCCCTGGTCCTTAACTAATGCCGAAAATTTGAAGTTTGGTTTTAACTTTGGCCTTTCAGGGCCAGAGCTCTTCATTTGTGAGCTAATGGGCCTATGAGATTCTTTTAGGAGAATAAGGAGGTGGGGAAGTGGGGGCACAAGGACTGTGGGCCTCTCAGGGGCTCCGTGCCAGGAGCCAGAAGGGGTACAGACTGCTCTCCTCTAACAGCTGCACCATCTGCCCAGAGCCAGACTGAGCCTGGAGGGTTCTGGAAGCCAGAAGGATTGACATGGGGCTGGAGGCAGGGAAAGGCTGCTGGAAGAGGGAGAAACTGAGGACTCACGGTTTCCAGGTAGCTTGATCTGTTCCAGGCCTGGCTGGGGTCTGCCCTCGCCACAGGTGGTCACGGCCTCTTTGCAAGAACTGCTGGGGCTTCCACCACAGTTGTAGCACCGCATTCGGTTTCCTGGCAGGAGAAAAGAGGCGCTGGACCTGGGCCCTCGGTGGAGCCGGCTGGCAGAAGGCCTGTGTGAGAAGCTAGCTGGCCGCCTCCTTACCCAAGGCAGCCCCTAGCAGGGAGCTGAGCAAGATCCCAACAAACTGGGGTTTCATCGCAGTCTGCCCGTGTCAGGACCGCCTCTACCTCCTGCCCACCCCCCTCCCCAGCCCGGCTCTGCCTGCCTTATATCCCCCGTGCCTTGAGCTTTATAGGGCTATAAAAAAGGAAGAAAGAGTCTCCCCCAGCAGGCACCAAGGGCCCCAGTGGGGACAGGGAGGGGCCCCACAGCATGCTCTCAGCATCCTCTGGAGTCCTCAAACTCCTTTATCCTCAGCAGCAGTCTGTGGACCAACAAGAACCCCTGAGGATCCCTGATACCCTTTCACAGGGTCCTTGAGGGTCCTCCTTTTGCAACTATCTGTGTAAGGTCAGATTTTCTTCATATACTGGACTTCAACGAAAACAACATATCCCAACAGACTGAATGCAGAAGCAGATAGGAAAACCCAGGCATCTCCCACGAAGCCTGACACTAGATTCACAAAAATGTAAAGCAATGCTCAGCTTCTCACTGTGCTGTGGAGAAATAATAGTTATTTTTCACAAAACTGTATTTTGTTAGCATGTAATACTTTATTATTTTTATTGTTTAAATAAATCAATAAATACCTACTTTAAATTTTCTGTTTTAATTTTTAATGTAGTAAATATTGATATAACCTCATAAAGAAAAGCTCTTCAGAGTCTTAAGTAACTTTGAAAAGTGTAAAGAGGTCCTGAGATCAATATTTTTGAAAAGAGCTGCTCTCCTGGGCACCTGTGTCTCCCCTATCTTCACTCCCTGTTCCTAGTCTTACTCCTCCTGGTACATGCTGGCTCTGATTCCCCAGATGGGCCTTCCTCCTTCCCAGTCTCTTCAACCCCAGCCTTCCAGGCTGTATCACCACCCCCCTACCCCAAATCCCATCCATGCCTTCCTTTCTAGTGATTTCTCCCCAGTGCAAGCACATCAGCAGGCCCTCCAGCCCCACCCGTGGTTATTTCTTTCCTCCAAGGTAGTAAAGCTGGCAGGGATAATTACAGGGTAGGAATGTTGAAGCTTGGGGGGATCAAAGGGATCTGAAGCTGGGTGGGGTCCGCCCTTACACAGCTGGGCTTTGTGTGTGCATGTGGGTGTGTGGGTGGGGGTATTGTTGATTCTACACTCAAACAGATCCACGCCGGGGCTGTTTAGGAGGGTGACTTTGAGAGACATGAAAGCACTGAGGGGGAAAGACAGAGAAAACAAAGACAGAGAGAAGCTGAGAGAGCCAGGGAGCAGCTTGAGACATGGGGAGGGAGGGGGAGGAGTAGGAGGGAAGGCGACAGACACAACTCAGGAGCAGGAGAGGAAGCTAAGTTACAGAGACAACATGCTGAGAGAGCAGAGGAGACCCTCCAGGCAAGGGCAGACTCCTTGCAGGGGCAGGCTGGGGGCCCCCGCTGCCTGCTGGGTCAGGCTGGTGAATCTGGTCATGGTTCCGCCCCCCAGATTCACTCCCTAGGTGTGTTTGTTTACTGGTTCCTCACTGTCTTGCTCAAATGCTCCAACTCTACAAATCCCGGGATCTCGGGGTGCAGATCACCTCTCCCAGATTCCTGAGCCTGTGTCTGGCCATGGGCACCTCCAGCATCTTCCTCTGCGTGCTGTTCCTCTGTGGGGCACTGGGTAAGGGTGGGCTGGGGAACCTTCAGTGGTCAGGGGGCTGGGGGTGGGGACAAGGGCATGTGGAGGAACCTGAGGGCTGGGGAGGAGAGGGGTGTGGGTGCTGGAAGAGGCCAAGAAGAGAGCTGGGGGAGTGGGGGACTTCAGGGAGACCAGCCACTGGGAAGGCCAGCCTGATGAGGTGGGAAAGGAAGAGTTTCCTTTCAAGGCATTTGAGAATAACTGTCTCCCCCTTGCTGCATCTTTGATCCGCCCCTGTCTCCCCTATCCCTTATTTCACGTGTTGCTTCTGTGCTGGGCCCTTTGGTCAATGTCAATTTCTATTTTCCTATCTGTCTCTGGTGCCATTTACTTAACTTTTTCACTGACCCCCTCAACTTCCCTGCTGCTGGGTCTGGCTTTTTGTCTCACTCTTTTTATGTTGGTCTCTGATTCTTGTGGCTTCTGTTCATGTCTGCGCATCTCTCAATCCCTGTACCCCTCTTGCCTCCATCTCTGTTTCTTTTCCTGCATCGTCTCCCTCTTTTTTTTTGAGACAGAGTCTCGTTCTGTCACCCAGGCTGGAGTGCAGTGGCATGATCTCGGCTC
This sequence comes from Homo sapiens, assembly GCF_000001405.40. Lineage (NCBI taxonomy): Eukaryota > Metazoa > Chordata > Mammalia > Primates > Hominidae > Homo > Homo sapiens. The sequence continues at coordinate 3,018,225 of NT_167246.2, read as the reverse complement.
ACTGCAACCTCAGCCACCCAAATTCAAGAGATTCTCCTGCCTCAGCCTCCCAAGTAGCTGGGACTAGAGGCATGTGCCACCATGCCCGGCTAATTTTTTGTATTTTTAGTAGAGACGGGGTTTCACTGTGTTAGCCAGGATGGTCTCAATCTTCTGACCTCATGATCAGCCCGCCTCGGCCTCCCAACGTGCTGGGATTACAGGCGTGAGCCACTGCGCCCAGCTATTTTTTCTACTTCTGTCAGCTTTCCTCCCTTATTCCACAGCTTTCCTCTCTCTGCTTCATGTGTCACCTCTCTCTGTGATCCCTCTCCGGATCTGGCCTCTGCCTGCCCCACAGGGAGGGTTTGCCTCTCCTGCTCTCCTAATCTCTGCTGCCTCAACAGGTCTCACCATGTCCCCTGCCCGGGGAAGGCTCCGCTGCTACATCTGTGGCTTCACCAAACCCTGCCACCCTGTTCCCACCGAGTGTCGGGACGATGAAGCTTGTGGCATCAGTATTGGCACTTCAGGTAGGACTCTGGTCCAATGGCCCTTCTCCAGGAGGCTCCCTACCTCCATCCATCCGGCCTTTCCTGTGGCCCCCGCCTCAGCATGCCTCTTTCATCCCACAGACCAGAGTGAGATCACTGAGTGAAAAAGCTGCCTCTCAAGGGCCCAGTGCCCTCTGCCAGGCTATGCCACCTACTGGCTGCACTCCTACACTCTGTGGCACCACTGCTGCGAGCAGGACCTGTGCAACATAGCCGCTTCCCCACAGCAGCTCACCAGCCTCCTCGCCTCCCTGCCCCTCTTTGTGGCCAGCTTCGCTGGGAGAGGACACCTCCTCCACTAGCTTCCGTGGATCTGCAGCCCCCAACCCAGGATACCCCCCGCCATCACTGCGGCCCTGGAAACACCTGCACAGACACTTTGAGACATGCCCGAGAACCTAATTTTGTACAGAGACCCCAGATCTCTCAGCAGACCCCTCACAGACCCCTCACAAGGCCTGGGGAGGCACCTGCCCAGAGTCCAACCTCATAAAGAACACCTATTCTGCGTCTTTTGTCTTTTCTAGATGCCCATTGCTGATGCCCCGTGTCAGCCCAGGTCACTGGCAAGGCAGGCATTTTGATGACACTGTGGATCTCAGGCAAGGGGATCAAAGGAGCATCAGGTATGGTAAGGAGGAGAGTCTTGCTAGGAAAGACTAATGTGGTAGGTCGGGAACTCAGGATGGAGGGCTTGGGGGACTATGAAGAGTACCTTTAATAAAAGGTCTATCTAGGAGTCCAGTAATACTGCAGATACTGCAGTGTGTGTGTGTGTGTGTGTGTGTGTGTGTGTGTGTCTGTGTGTGTGTGCTCTAAGAGCAAACTGTAGCTGCTTGGTGGGTTGGGCTGGAGCTGGAACCTGGACCACGGCACTCCCCTCATTCTCCATCTGTGTCATTTTCGTCCTTTTTCTTGCCAATGGCTTAGTTTAAGCCCCTGCAGCCTGAAGCCTTTAGGTGAGACTTCTGAGAAAGCTTTTTTCCAGTAAGGCCCAAGCTTGAGCAGAGACACAAAAGGGCACCCAGTGGAGCTGCTTGTGAGGGTGTGGCTGGAGCTCAGCTCATTTCTGCCTGAGACTAGGGAATGGCCAAGTTGGGAGCATCAATATCCTCCCTCGCTTCACCAGCCCAGACTCGCCCATGGTTCACAGACATCCCAGCATGGCCCCGGCCCAATAAATAACATACCCCCACTGGGCCTGCCAGCCTGAGTAGACACTCCCTCTGCCCCCGAGAAATAGGGTGTGACCTCAGGGCAGCAGGAAGGAAGTGCCAGAGTGGCGATAGCTGCTCACATGCTCTGAATGCCCCGGTAAGGCGCCACAGGGAAGAGTGTGTGCCTAGGATAAGGAAGGATAAGGAGGGGGCCCCGGGTGGGAGCTGAGCACAGGCATCTCTATCCTGACTCAGTTCCCTCCCCTTGCATGTGAGGAAGTCTGGGGTTGATTAAATATGCCTGTTCCCTCTCTTCTTTGTGAGGATGAGACATGGGGTAGTGGGGGTCTGGCTTAATTTAGAGATGGGTTGAGGCTTTCCATTTTCTCTGTCCCTCCATCCTCCCACTTTGTGCTTCTATTTTTCTCCCTCTGTCCATCTCTTTCCACTTTCTCTGACTTGAGTCTCTTCCCTTCTCTCTCTTCCTCCGTTTTCCCCATTTGTCCTTCAGCTCCACTGCAATGGATTCCTCACCATTGCTCAAGTCTCCAGATTCCTGTCTCCTCCCTGTGCACACCCATCCTCCTTGCCCCCACCAGCAACCTCAGGCTCCCCTCAACCCCACAGTACTATGGGCTCAGGGCCATCCCTCCACTGCTGCTACAAGACAGGAGACCAAACCTTTTTGTAGGTTACATCACAGAATAATGCTCCTCCTTTCCTTCAGTCCCCCACCCCTCCCCATACACAGCTTGGTGGCTGCTGGAGGCCAGCTGGATGGTGAAGTCGAACTCTCAGTCCCGCCCCCCTTGCTAAGGTTGTCGAGGAATCTTCCAGGTGCCAGATGGCCAGCGAGACAGCAGGTCACACTTCCCAGCAGATGTCACCAAAATCACCTGGGCTTGTGGGCAGGTGGGCTGTGGGGTTTTCCAGAGAGACAGATTAAGGATACCTCTACTTTTCACATCCTCAGGAACGAGGGCCCATCCCCAACCCAACCCGTGTTTCCTCTCCATCCCCAGTCCCCTCCAGGATTTAAGCCTCTGTTCCCTAGCTGTTCCTCACCCAAGACGGGCCAAATGGATGTTCTCATAGACCTGGATTTCGGGTTTGAACTGAGGAATCGAGGCATCTGGGGAGAAGGAGCCATCAGGGATACAGAAGAGAAGTCAGCAGACAACTTAGAGGCGTGTTCCTCGCCCCCTCCCCTAGAGGAGGTGGGGTACAGAGGCGGGGTGTGAGCCTAGCCCTTTGCCTCCCACCCATGTGCCCTCTTCTTTCCCCGGGGAGGGAGGGACTCACCTCTGCCTGGAGCCCCACGGACCCTCTGCCTCCAGAGCACGATGCTGAGGGCCAGGATGACAACTCCCTGGCCCATTGTGAGCAGCAGCATCAGAATCCAAGGCATGTCCCAGCCCGTGGAAGGGGCACAGAGGGCAGGAGAAGCATCGATGGAGGCTGTAGTAAGGGCCAGACCAGAGGGATGGGAGGGAGGTAGTGAGGGGCCCTGTCCCTGTGCCCCAAAGAGAGGCTTCCCCTCCACAGTCTGGTGGGCTCTTCCAACAGAAGACTTTGTAAGCTTCCCTGCCCACAATATCCTCCACCCTACTCTGCCCCTTTCCAGGCCTCTCACCCTGACCCATAGAGAATGGCGGCCAGGCACAGTGGCTCATGCCTGTAATTCCAGCACATTAGGAGGCCAAGGCGAGCAGACCACTTGAGGTCAGGAGTTCAAGACCAGCCTGGTCAACATGATGAAACCTCATCTCTACTGAAAGTATAAAAATTGAGGCCAGGCGCAGTGGTTCACACCTGTAATCCCAGCACTTTGGGAGGCCGAGGTGGGTGGATCACCTGAGGTCAGGAGGTCGAGACCAGCCTGACCAACATGGTGAAACCCCATCTCTACTAAAAACACAAAAAAGAGGCCGGGCGCTGTGGCTCACACCTGTAATCCCAGCACTTTGGGAGACCAAGGCGGGCAGATCACGAGGTCAGGAGATTGAGACTATCCTGGCCAACATGGTGAAACCCCGGCTCCACTAAAAATACAAAAATTAGCTGGACGTGGTGGCATATGCCTGTAATCCTAGCTACTCGAGAGGCTGAGGCAGGAGAATCACTTGAACCAGGGAGTCAGAGGTTGCAGTGAGCCGGGATTGCGCCACTGCACTCCAGCCTGGCGACAGAGAGAGACTCTGTCTCAAAAAAAAAACAAAAAAAAACACACACACACACACAAAAGTTAGCCAGGCGTGGTGGCAGGCACCTGTAGTCCAGCTACTCAGGAGGCTGAGATGGGAGAATAGCTTGAACCCAAGAGGCAGAGGTTGCAGTGAGCCAAGATCGTGCCACTGCATTCCAGCCTGGCCAACAGAACAAGTCTCCATCCCAAAAAAAAAAAAAAAAAAAAAAAAAAAGGCCAGGCGTGGTGGCTCACACCTATAATCCTAACACTTTGGGAGACTGAGGCAGGCAGATCATGAGGTCAAGAGATCAAGGCCATCCTGGCCAACATGGTGAAACCCCGTCTCTACTAAAAATACAATTTTTTTTTTTTCAGATAGAGCTTCGCTCTTGTTGCCCAGGCTGGAGTGCAATGGCGTGATCTTGGCTCACTGCGCCCTCCACCTCCCAGGTTCAAGTGATTCTCCTGCCTCAGCCTCCCGAGTAGCTGGGGTTAGAGGCATGTGCCACCATACCCGGCTAATTTTGTATTTTTAGTAGAGACAGAATTTCTCCATGTTAGTCAGGCTGGTCTTGAACTCCCAACCTCAAGTGATCCGCCTGCTTCGGCCTCCCAAAGTGCTGGGATTACAGGATTGAGCTACCATGCCTGGCCTAATAATAATAAAATAAAATAAAATAAAATAAAAAGTAGAGAATGGCAATGCCCCCTGCTCACGCATGGGCAACCAACTACAGAGCAGACCACCAGCCATAACCACACTTTCCCCTCACACCCTTTATAGTAATTCACCCTTTCTTTCAAGAAAAAATAGCCAGATGTGATGGCTCATGCCTGTAACCCCAGCACTTTGGGAGACCAAGATAGGAGGATCATTTGAGGCCAGTAGTTTGAGACCAGACTGGGCAACATAGCAAGATCCTGTCTCTACAAAAAATTTAAAGGTGCGGTGGCTCATGCCTATAATCCCAGCACTTTGGGAGACTGAGGCAGGCAGATCACTAGAAGTCAGGAGGTTGATACCAGCCTGGCCAAAATGGTGAAATCTCGTCTCTACTAAAAGTACAAAAAATTATCCAGGCATGGTGGCGGGCGCCTGTAATTCCAGCTACTTGGGAGGCTGAAGTGAAAGAACATCCCTTTCCGTCTCCTTCCTCAGTTTACCTGCCAGGCTAAAGCTGACCCCTTTGTTGTGAGTCATGAGGCAGCGGATGATTCTTGGTCTTCGGCTCCTGGGCTCAGAAAGCCCCTCCCCAGGACACACCAAGAGCAGGGCAGCCTCACTGCCCCAGAAGGACTGAACACGGCCCCTCACGGGACCCTTCCCTTCCTGCCAGGTCACAGAGTCCATGCGTCTGCTGGGGACCACAGAGCACAGGAGGACATTGCAGGGGGATCCATCTGCAGCCCTTGCAGATAACTGGGATCCTGTAGGGGAGAGAGGGATTCCTCAGTTCTTCACCTGGACTTCCTGGGCCACAGTAGCCCCTGGTCTGCATGCCCCCACTCACCTTTGAGCACCAAGACGTCGTACACCCTCCAGTTCTGGTAGTTGTGGTGCTGACCTAGCACAGCGCACCAGTACCGCCCGGCATCTTCCTCTTTGGATCCCTCCAACCACAAAGAATAGTTCCCCAGCAGTCTGAGCCTGGATTCCCTTCCTGGTTTTCCAGGGTCTGGGGCTGGCCTGCCCACTTGGACTTGGGCTACCAGGGTGGTGAAGGAGCCTGCTGCAGGGCTGCAGAACCATGACAGGTGTTCGTCCCCATGTAGAGTAGGTGGTGAGGGACATGGCAGCTCTACTGCCTCCCCCAAGGCCACATAGATGGCCTGCATGTTGTCTGTGGGAAGAGGGTTGTATGAGGCCAGAGACCTCCATCAGATCAATAACCCCCCATTTGATCTTCAACCCTGGCTTCCTTCCCTTCTGGGGTCCCCCAGCACAGGCCTGGCTGGTGACCACATTTCTCAAGTGACAGCTACAAAAATAAGACAGGTGGAGAGAAGAGGGTAAGGGCTTTCCTCCTCTCTCCCCCAGCCAGTGAGGGGGTCTGAGGGCAAGAGGGAAAAGGCTGAAAGTTGGCAAATGCCCACATCTCTTCTACTCATTTCTACTTTTCTGGAAGCATTTACTCATTCTTCTTATTTTATAAAGGAAACTGCATAACCTGGACCCTCGTTGCCTCTGGGTCTTCCCTAGTGTCAGAGGCAGGAGGAGGTTGGTTGGGGTAATTCTATCTTCTTGAGTCAGATGCCTTCGCCAGGCTCCTAGGAGAAAGAGCAGTAGTCCCTCCCCAACCTTGCAAATAGCTAAGGAATCCCGTACCTCTTGCCCCTTACCTGCAGCCTGGGGAGTTCCACATAGGAACAGGAGGAGGAATAAGACTGCCATGGGGAGAGCCTGCCAAGTTCTCTTGCTCCAAGACCTGGTGTCCCCAGGGAGGAAGCAGAGTCCAGATAAAGGCCCACACTCGCTGGTCTGGAGTGACAAGGGGCTCTGGAGGGGATGGGAATGCTGGGGCGATAAAGCCCAGCAGCATGTCTACTAGGGATAAAGTGACCACCACTTTTCTATCCTGGAGAGAAAAGGACCCAGCCCAGGCCACTCTGAAGATGACCTTTTTGCTCTTCTGATTCCACATCAGCTAAGGGGCTCAAATAAAGACTTTCCATGCAAAAAACCATGCAGAGAAGTGGTCCTGCCTGTCTAGCTCTTGTCAGTCTGGAAGTACATTCTGAGGTCTCTTTCACTCCTAAGAAAGGTCAGCCATGAGTTGGGTGGATCACTTGAGGTCAGGAGTTCGAGACCAGCGTGGCCAACATGGCGAAACCCTGTCTCTACAAAAAATACAAAAATTAGCCAGGCGTGGTGACATGTGCCTGTAATCCCAGCTACTTAGGAAGCTGAGAGGCACCAGAATCGCTTGAACCCGGGAGGTGGAGGTTGCAGTGAGCCGAGATCGTGCTACTGCACTCCAGCCTGGGAGACAGAGCGAGACTTCATCTCAAAAAAAAAAAAAAAAAAAAAAAAAAAAGAAAAAGAAAAGAAAAGAAAAGAAATGTCAGCTATGAGTGAAGAAACTGAGTTTGAGTTTTTATGTTGGTCCTCCACAGAACCCAGCACAAGACTGTGTATCGAGTCAGTGTCCCGTAAATGATTTGGAATGACTTTCCCTGTGGTTGTCTGGCATACCCCGGACCTCTCCTGAAACCCTAATAAGTGTATTAAATTATTACTCAGGGACAAGGCTAACGGGCTGATTCATCCTTCTGAACGGCAAAAACTCCTAAGGCAGATCTTCATGCAGTTATTACAGTTTTAATGTGTAATTTATTTATTTTTAAAATTATTTTGATGAAATATTCCATACATACCAAAAACTATATGAAGTACAACTATATAATGGATAAATGCTTAACAGAGTAGAAGACTGGACAGCAATGAGAATGAACAAACCTAGTGATTTGCAACAAAGTTGAATCTCACAATATAATGAGAGTAAAAGAAGCCTGGCCAGGCATGGTGGCTCATGTCTACAATCCTAACACTTTTGGAGGCCAAGGTGGGAGGGTTGATTGAAGCCAGAAGTTTGAGGTTGGGCAACAGAGCAAGACCCCAACTCTGAAAATAAAGGCCAGACGCCGTGGCTCACGCCTGTAATCCCAGCACTTTGGGAGGCTGAGGCAGGCGGATCACGAGGTCAAGAGATCGAGACTATCCTGGCCAACATGGTGAAACCCTGTCTCTACTAAAAATACAAAAATTAGCTGAGTGTGGTGGTGGATGCCTGTAGTCCCAGCTACTCAGGAGGCTGAGGCAGGAGAATCGCTTGAACTCAGGAGGCAGAGGCTGCGGTGAGCAGAGATCATGCCACTATACTCCAGCCTGGTGACAGAGCGAGACTCCGTCTCAAAAAAATAAATAAATAATAAATAAATAAATAAATAAATAAATAGAATATTCCAGGCCGGACTCGGTTGCTCATGCCTGTAATCCCACCACTTTGGGAGGATGAGACAGGCGGATCACCTGAGGTCAGGAGTTCAAGACCAGCCTGACCAACATGGAGAAACCCCATCTCTACTAAAAATAAAAAAATTAGCAGGGCATGGTGGTACATGCCTGTAATCTCAGCTACTTGGGAGGCTGAGGCAGGAGAATCGCTTGAACCCCAGAGGCAGAGGTTGTGGTGAGCCGAGATCGGGCCATTGCACTCCAGCCTGGGCAATAAGAGCGAAACTCGGTCTCGAAAAAAAAAAAAGAAAAAGAAATAGAATATTCCAGGCCAGGCACAGTGGCTCATGCCTGTAATCCCAGCACTCTGTGAGGCCAAAGCAGGAGGTTCACTTGAGCCCAGGAGTTCGAGACCAGCCTGGGCAACATGGTGAGACCTTGTAAAATTAGCCGAGTATGGTGGTGTGGGCCTATAGTCCCAGCTACTCAGGAGGTTGAGGCAGAAAGATGGTTGAGCCCAGCAGGTGGAGGATCAGGGCAGTGAGCCGTGATTGTGCCACTGTGCTCCAGCCTGGGTGAAAGAGCTAGACCCTGTCTCAAAAAAAAAAAAAAAAAAAAACAGAAAAAAAGAATATTCCGTTTCAGTCAGAGATCCTCTATGCTGTGTAACCACAATTCTGAATTTTCTCTTTCTTCTCCACTTGCTTTATCATTAAATTTTATGTGTTTTTGAATCTAATATACTAGTATCACGTATACATTCTTCTGTGGCTTTCTATTTTCACTCAGCATCATGGTTTTAAGATCCAGTTCATGCATAACAGTAATGATTCATTTATTTTCTTTTTACAAATATTCCGCATATCTTACTGTGCTGAACTTTCGTATCCAGGACCATGGTGTAGCTTTCCATTTATTGAAAAGCTTTTCGTTTACCTCTTTCTTTTTTTATTTTTTCAATTATTATTGTTATTATTTTGAGGCAGGGTCTGGCTCTGTCACCCAGGCTGGAGTGCATGGAGCGATCTCAAACTCCCGGGCTCAAGCGACCCTCCCACCTTGGCCTCCCAAGTAGCTGGGACTACAGGTGGGCACCACCACACCCTGCTAGGTCTTTTTTTTTTCCCCCTTGGTATTTTGTGTAGAGATGGGGTCTCACTATGTTGCCTGGGCTGGCTTGGAACTCCAGGGCGCAAGCAATCCTCTCTCAGCCACCCCAAGTGTTGGAATTACAGGCATGAGCCATGGCCTGGAACTCCTGGACGCAAGCAATCATCCCTCGGCCACCCAAAGTGTTGGAATTACAGGCGTGAGCCACCGCGCTGGGCCAGTTTACCTTTATTTATTTATTTAGAGACAGAGTCTTGCTCTGTCACCAAGGCTGAAGTGCAGTGGGAAGATCTCGGCTCACTGCAACCTCTGCCTCCCGCGTTCAAGCGATTCTCGCGTCTCGGCCTCCCGAGTAGCTGGGATTACAGGCGCGCACCACCCATGCCAGGCTAATTTTTGTATTTTTAGTAGAGATGGGGTTTCACCATGTTGGCCAGGCTGGTCTCGAACTCCTGGCCTCAAGTGATCCCCCCGCCTCGGCCTCCCAAAGTGCTAGGACTACAGGCGTGAGCCGCTGCGCCGGGCCGGGCCAGTTTGCCTTTTCAATAACTTTTTATAGTTTTCTTCATAAAACCTTGCATTTCTTGTACTAGATACATTCCTAGACACCTTATGTTTTCGGTTACTCTTATCAAGTACTCCTAATCTCACCCCTCGTTTCCGCTGTCGCTCTAGAGTCTGCCAATAATGAGACAGAAAAAAATTATTGAACCATGCCCGGTAATTTTCTGATTCTCCGCGTTCTAGTGGTCTTCCACTAGTTTCGGACCACTGCTGTACCCGTAGCTCCAACTGCGCGAAACTCTTCTCAGGAAGCACTGAAAATGTCGCAACTCGCCCGGAGGCGGAGCCGGTACGGGCTGACGTCAAGGGCACACAACACCTCAGAGGCAGGGAGGGCGGGGCCGGCAGGGGGACCTGCTGCTGGAAGAGCAGCGGCCCGAGCCGGGGCCATGGCGAAGCTGCTGAGCTGCGTCCTAGGCCCCCGGCTCTACAAAATCTACCGGGAGAGGGACTCTGAAAGGGCCCCGGCCAGCGTCCCTGAGACGCCAACGGCAGTCACTGCCCCCCATTCCAGCTCCTGGGTGAGTCGAGTTCCTCCCCACCGAAGAACGTGGTACAGTCCAAACCCTTTACGGCCTTTTGCTCCCCAGAAGTGCCCATAATGGGAAATAAGGGGAGCCTGCTTGTCAAGCCAGTTATCCGCAAAATCTGCGCTCTGTGTGCTTCCTGAGTTAAAGTCACGCCTACGGACTGGCCGCCTCCTTTCTTTTTCGCTCTTTACCGCTTTCTCATTCCGACTGCCACTCTTTGTTCTTTCCTCTCCGCGTCCCCCCGACCCTGTGTGTCGTGGTTCGTGCCGGTCCCAGTTGAGTCTTGAGTCCCGGGAAGAGACCCTGCGCGGACTGGGGAGCCGTTGAATTTTGCTGTCAGACTCCCAGTTTCCTCTTCTTCAGTGCCTCTTCATGCCTCCCCCGGCTCTGTTTTTATCTTCCCTTTACCCTCGCCTTGAATTTCAGAATGACTTTTACAGATCCTGTATCCGTCGGTCCTCCCCTCAACCCCCGCCCAACCTAGCCTGGAGACCCGAGTCATTGTATTCTGGAGAGCTGGCGGGTGGTGGTAGGCTGTTCTAAATATTCTCTTCCTTTTTATCAGTTGTCTCATTGTGTTACTGTCTCCTACAAACTGCCCGCTCCTACCCACATTCTCTTCTTAGTCAACTACTCTTATTTCTGATGCTTTTCTTTCCTTCTTAGATTGTCTAGGTGTCTTTTCTTTCTTCTCAAACTAACCCTTCTCCCCACATGCACGCGCCTGCAATCCATTTGAAACTAGGCTGTGGAAAAGGAGCAAAAATCGTCCAATGCTGCTTTCACTTTTGCTTCCAAATCCAGCTCCCTGTGTTTGTTCCCATGGTCAGGGGTGGGAAATTAGGTTCAGAGTGAGGGTGAGGAAGAGGAGTTTCTGTGGGGGCCAGGGATGTTTCAAGAGAGATAGTCAACGAGACTAGAACCAGAGGACACACAGCAGGGCTTCTGAAAGGGAAGGGAAAGGACCTGCCAGTGGGCAGGGTCCTTAAGGAGGCCATCTGTTTTGGCAGGATACGTACTATCAGCCCCGTGCCCTGGAGAAACATGCTGACAGCATCCTGGCACTGGTATGTCTACCCTGGCATCTGGGACTCTGCATCTTTCAGACCCACCTGTCCTCTTGAACTTAGCCCTCCCTAACTTGGGAGCAACAGTGCCCTGGGGTTGGGGGATGCCCTGGGCTCTGCAGCAGACCTCTCCAACACAGACACACAGGCACACTCTAAATGTGCATACTTGGCACTCCCCTTTGGTATGTAGCACTGCTTTCTCTGGGGGCAACCTGAGCCGTAAGGAAAACATGTTTACTCTTGGGACCATCTGCAGGTGCTAAGTCCTGCAGTTCCCCAGTGACCTGTCCTCCCTGGCAACTAACCTCTTTGGCTGCAGGGACAGCTGTTCTTTCTGGCACAGTTCCTGTGGTGACGTTTGCGCATCTCTTGGGGACCAGGCCAGGGGCTGTCCTGAGCAGGGCCAATTGAAAAGGCTTGATTAACTTGAGTAGACAGAGAGACTGCCTTTAAATGTGATGGAATTATGTCTGGAGATGGAAGACATAATTCTTCCATAATTCCAGAGGAAGAAAATAGAGCCTGTACCAAATTTTCCCAGCCTCCATTACATTGACACACTACTTTTCAACAAATACTGAGCACCTACTGTATTCATGGTGTCATACACCAAATATGATATGATATCCCTCAGGTTGTCCATCTTGCTCAGAGTGTATAGTATATGCCTGGAATGGCAGGTGTGTGTGTGTGTGTGTATTGATTGCCTGTCCCTGTCTCTCTGCTGCAGGCTTCAGTATTCTGGTCCATCTCTTATTACTCCTCTCCCTTCGCCTTCTTCTACTTGTACAGGAAAGGTCAGTGTGGTTTCAAAGGTGGTGGGGTAGCAAATGGGCAGGTTGTTGGCAGATGAGCCAGCTCCCTAAAGAGGAGAGGGGACCTGTGAAGATGGCTTGGCTTCCCTCTTCCATCAGGCATCTTCTTCCTCTTAGGGTATGGCTGTTCCAAACAGGGAGTGTGGGGTGGAGGTTGGGGCTGAACTGGGAAGAGGAGCTGAGGGACATTGCGGAGAGGGTCTCACATTGTCCCTCTCCCTTCCCAGGTTACTTGAGTTTGTCCAAAGTGGTGCCGTTTTCTCACTATGCTGGGACATTGCTGCTACTTCTGGCAGGTGTGGCCTGCCTCCGAGGTAGGTGGAGAGGAAACCTGGTTTGAATCTTATCTGTCACTGTCACTGGTTAAAAATTAAGTACCTTGTGCAAATACATTTTAGTGATGGGCCTCCGAGAGGGAATCATTGAGAATGGTTTAAGGCATGATCTTTTCCTTAAAAGACTTGGGTTATAAATATGAAAAAATAACTGAAAAGTAACAAAAAGGTTTGCTTTTTTTTTTTTAAGAGATAGGGTCTCACCATGTTGTCCAGGCTGGTCTCAAACTCCTGAACTCAAAGTGATCCTCCCACCTCAGCCTCCCGAAGTACTGGGATTATAGATGTGAGCCACTATGCCTGGCTGCTTTTATCTAGAAAAGATGCATATACCCTACAACAATTCTATATATGTATACATACTAGGAAAACTCCTGCACATGTATAAACAATATAGATGTACAAGAATACAGCATACAACATTGTTTGTAATAATCCTAAGCTGGAAACAACTCCAGTGGCTACAAATAGTAGGATGGATAAAATATGTTCTGTGTGGCCGGGTGTGGTGGCTCATGCCTGTAATCCCAGCACTTTGGGAGGCAGAGGCCAGTGGATCACGAGGTCAGGAATTTGAGACCAGCCTGACCAACATGGTAAAACCCCGTCTCTACCAAAAATACAAAAATTAGCTGGGCATGGTGGCACGTGCCTGTAATCCCAGCTACTTAGGAGGCTGAGGCAGGAGAATAGCTTGAACCTGGGAGGCAAAGGTTGCAGTGAGACGAGATTGCGCTACTGCACTCCATCCTGGGCAACAGAGCAAGACTCCGTCTCAAAAAAAAAAAAAAGTTCCATGCAATAGCCATGCAAGAGAACACTATATAGCAATGCAAATGAACAAACTGTAGCTACGCTCAACAACGCAGATGAAGCCAGGTGCAGTGGCTCATGCCTGTAATCCTAGCAGTTTGGTAGGCTGAAGCAGGCAGATCACCAGAGGTCAGGAGTTCAAGACCAGTCTGTCCAACATGGTGAAACCCCGTCTCTACTAAACATACAAAAAAAAATTAGCCAGGTATGGTGGTGAGCACCTGTAATCCCAGCTATTCGGGAGGCTGAGGCAGTAGAATTGCTTGAATCCAAGAGGCAGAGGTTGCAGTGAGCCAAGATTGCGCTACTGTACTGCATCCTGGGCAACAGAGCAAGGCTCCATCTCAGAAAAAATAAAATACAAAAAATTAACTGGGCATGGTGGCACATGCCTATAGTCTTAACTGCTTGGGAGGCTAAGGCATGAGAACTGCTTGAACCTGGGAGGCAGAGGTTGCAGTGAGCCAAGATAGCACCACTGCACTCCAGTCTGGGTGACAGAGCGAGACTCTGTCTCCAGATAAACAAAAGCAATGCAGATGAATTTCTCAAATGTTGTGTTAAATAGAAGAAGCTAACCACAAAATAATGTATGCAGTATGTTTTCATTTATATAAAATTCAAAAGGGATGTGCATGTTTGAGGTAGAACACCGAAGACAACAAGGGCATGGTTTTCTTTTTTTTTTTTTTTTTTTTTGAGACGGAGTCTCGCTCTGTCCCCCAGGCTGGAGTGCAGTGGCGCGATCTCGGCTCACTGCAAGCTCCGCCTCCCGGGTTCACGCCATTCTCCTGCTTCAGCCTCCCGAGTAGCTGGGACTACAGGCGCCCACCACCACACCCGGCTAGGTTTTTTTGTATTTTTTAGTAGAGATGGGGTTTCACCGTGTTAGCCAGGATGGTCTCAATCTCCTGACCTCGTGATCCACCCGCCTCGGCCTCCCAAAGTGCTGAGATTACAGGCTTGAGCCACCGCGCCCAGCAAGGGCATGGTTTTCTCAAAAGTTAGGAGAGTGATTACCTGGGGTGGGGGAGAACAGAGTGGGGGAGAGCCCTGCTGAGAGGTGGCTGTGTTCTCTTTGTTGACCTAGGTGATAGTCACATGAATGTTTGCTTTGTATTTTTTAAACTGAATATATGTTTTATGTACATATGTTGTATCTCGCAATTTAAAAAAATAAAGAGGACAGATCACCTACCCCTAGTGGGTACATAAGATGACAACCAGGTGATGGGCGATGCTTCAACATGGGGGTGGTGGGGTCAGGGCTGGATGGTCGCAGTTGGGTCCAGGACCTTCTGCCTGAGGTGTTCTGCCCCCTGATCTCTGCAGGGCTGGGCTCTCTCCTCAGAGAGGCCTTCCCTGACCACCCTGTCTAAAAGTAGCTCCCACTGCTCAGTTTTGTCTTAGTTTTTTATTTTATTTATTTTTAATTTAGAAAAAATACAGAAAAAATTAGCTGTGCATGGTGGCGGGCGCTTGTAATCCCAGCTATTTGGGAGGCTGTGGCAGGAGAATCACTTGAACCCGGGAGGCGGAGGTTGCAGTGAGCCGAGAGCACATCATTGCACTCCCGCCTGGGCAACAAGAGCAAAACTCTGTCTCAAAAAAAAGAAAAAAGAAAAAATACAGAAAAGTCCAGAGAACAAAATATAAAAGCCTTTTTAAATTTTTTGATGTATAGTTTTGTGATTTTTTTTTTATATATAGTTTTGTGATATTTGCTTTAAATGCTTTCTGTCAACAAAATACTAAAGCACCACAGTTAGGGTTGGAGTTCCCATTGGAATCCTTTCAGTCCCATCTTCCTCTTTCCTCAGAAGTAATAATTGTCATTTGGTGTGGGTTTTTTTTTTTTCTGGCACATACTTTTATGAAACATATACCTCAGTTCCTCAAGTCTAAGCTGCCATCAATTGTAAAATGAATTCTAATTTCAGAGTTTTCAAGGGTTAAAAAATATACATTTTAGAATCTATGAAATATGGTATCTATAAGCAGTATGTATTATTTTGCACATTTTACATTTTTGGCATAAATGTTGTACAAATCATTCTGCAGCACACATCATTCTCTCATCATATCGTTTTGGGGGAATACCATTGATGACACATAAAGTTCTGGTTCATTCTTGTTGTATTTTCTCTGTAGCACTTATCCCTCTCTGAAATGTTGTTTATTGTCTTCTCCTGGCTGTACCTAACCCCAACCAGAATGCCAGCTCTCTGAGAGCCAGGAGCTGTGTATCTCATTTCCTGCTGAGTCTCCCGTGTGTAGTACGGTGCCTGTCTGACACACGACACCTGCCAAGTCAGTGAGGAGAGAAGTTAGGGTTTGAGGTGGCTCAGCAGTGAAAGGAGAGTGGATGCAATCACTGACTGTGTAAGTGAAAAGAGAGAGGAGAGAGAGTCAGCACTGAGAGTTGCTTCTGCTTCAGAAAGGAAAGCAGAAAGGAGGCAGGAGAGGAACTGTTCAGGAACTGGAAGGAGTCAAGGATGGGCCCAGGAAGCAGAGGCAGGAAGAATCTTGAGGGACAGGGAGAATGCTGAGTAGTACAGTTGAAGAGAATGAGGATAGAAGAGTCAGGAATTCAGTGAGGAAGTAATTATGGGCAGGAGTCGGAGACTCTGAAGCCAGATGGCAAGGGGCTAGAATATACAGAAAAGAGGCAGAAAGCAAACATTGGAGAAGAATGGCAGTGAAAAATAGAGAAATTTGATATTCGCAAGGGAGAATAGTATTATATGATAGTGTTTAATAGTGTCATTTAATAGGTTATATGACAGTGTTTAAAGACTGAGGAAGAGGAACATTCTGGAAGATGGTAGGTTAAGGATTGTCTATAAAGACACAAACTGCAGAAGCTAGGGAGAAGAAGCGTCCTGTAGCCAGTTGCTGGATTTGGAGGAAGGGGGTTGGCTCACATCTATTTCTCCGCATCCTATGCCCTCAGTTCCTTTTTCTTTCACTTTTTCTTACAGGGCCTTCTTCTAGCCCATCTCCAATTCTTTTCCTAAAACCTAGGCTTTCTGCTTCCC
The DNA here is from genome assembly GCF_000001405.40 of Homo sapiens. Lineage (NCBI taxonomy): Eukaryota > Metazoa > Chordata > Mammalia > Primates > Hominidae > Homo > Homo sapiens. Next base: position 3,002,117 of record NT_167246.2, on the reverse strand, counting down.
AGTTTTCCTAGCACTGTTTCCTGTCCTTTTTCTACCAGGCATTGGCCGCTGGACCAACCCCCAGTACCGGCAGTTCATCACCATCTTGGAAGCAACACATCGGAACCAGTCTTCAGAAAACAAGGTGAGAGGCCCTAGGAAAAGTGCCACACAGGCACCCAATAGCAGCTTTCTCAGTTGTCCCTCAGAGCACCAGACACTGGCTTCTGCAGGAAGAGGAGGTGTGTTTTACCACCCACCACACTGGGTGTTTGCTTGCACATTGCTGTATCCCTTCTCACCTCCATTAGTGAACTGTCCACCTGAGGAATTTTTCCTCCCTACCACTTCTAATGGAATATTCTGCTAGAACAATCTTCCCCCTCCCTCACCTGTAAGAACTGGCTAAACTAGAAACATTCCACAATGTTTCTTTTTTCTTTTTCTTTTTTTTTTTTTGAGATGGAGTTTCGCTCTTGTTGCCCAGGCTGGAGTGCAATGGCACGATCTCGGCTCACTGCACTCTCCACCTCCCAGGTTCAAGTGATTCTCCTGTCTCAGCTTCCTGAGTAGCTAGGATTACAGGCACGCACCACCCACACCCTCTAATTTTTGTATTTTTTGTAGAGACGGGGTTTCACCATGTTGGCTAGGCTGGTCTCCAACTCATGACCTCAGGCGATCTGCCTGCCCCAGCCTCCCAAAGTGCTGGGATTACAGGCGTGAGCCACCACTCCTGGCCTCTTTTTTTTTTTTTCTTCTTTGAGACAGAGTCTCACTCTTACTCAGGCTGGAGTATAGTGGTACAATCTCAGTTTACTACAACCTCCAACTCCCGGGTTCAAACAATGCTCATGCCTCAGCCTCCTGAGTAGCTGGAATTACAGGTGCACACCACCACGCCCAGTTAATTTTTTTTTTTTTTTTTTGAGACGGAGTCTCACTCTGTCGCCCAGGCTGGAGTGCAGTGGCGCCATCTCAGCTTACTGCAAGCTCGGCCTCCCGGGTTCATGCCATTGTCCTGCCTCAGCCCCCTGAGTAGCTGGGACTACAGGCGCCTGCCACCACGCCCGGCTAATTTTTTTATTTTTAGTAGAGACGGGGTTTCACCATGTTAGCCAGGATGGTCTTGATCTCCTGACCTTGTGATCCGCCTGCCTCGGCCTCCCAAAGTGCTGGGATTACAGGCGTGAGCCACCGTGCCTGGCCAATTTTTGTATTTTTAGCAGAGACAGGGTTTCATCATGTTGGCCAGGCTAGTCTTGAACTCCTGACTGCAGACGATCTGCCTGCCTTGGCCTTCCAAAGTGCTGGGATTATAGGTGTGAGCCACTGTGCCTGGCCCACAGTGTTTCTTTTTTTTTCTTTTGAGATGGAGTTTCGCTCTTGTTGCCCAGGCTGGCGTGCAATGGCATGATTCCAGCTCACTGCAACCTCCGCCTCCTGGGTTCAAGCGATTCTCCTGCCTCAGCCTCCCAAGTAGCTGGGATTACAGGCATGCGCCACCACGCCCAGCTAATATTGTATTTTTAGTAGAGATGGGGTTTAGCTGTGTTGGTCAGGCTGGTCTCAAACTCCTGACCTCAGGTGATCCACCTGCCTTGGCCTCCCAAAGTGCTGGGATTACAGGTGTGAGCCACTGCACCCAGCCCACAATGTTTCTTAGAAGGTAGTTTTCTCTGTATCACAGCAGCTCAGTTCTATAAATGTTTAATTTTGTTGTATGCATTGAATACCATGCTATCCTTGTTTGTGGATGGGACAAGGTGGACAGGTGTGTCCACTCCTATGCCTGGGAGTACAGCATGGTGCCAGGAGGGAGAAAAGCTAGGGCTCAGTGTCTTGGGAATTATGCCAAGCCGGCTGGTGCTGGACTGTGATTATCTTTGAGGATGGGCTTTGGGGCCCCATAGAGCTCTTTTCTGTTATGGGAGGTTTCTAGGATCAAACAGCTATGACCACCATCATCACATTCCTGGCTACTCCACACTATGGAGCTGCGTAATGATGCCCTGTACTATGCTACTGGCTGAAGCATTTGGCACACACCCTTTCTGATCCTCACAACAGCTGAGTGAGGTGGCATTATTACCTTTATTTGTAAATGTGAGAAAACAGAGGCAAAAAGAGGTTAAGTGACCCATTCGGAGTCATAGAGCAAGAAAGTGGCTAAGTCCAGATTTGAGAGCAGGTCTGAGCAAAGCCTGCCTGAAATTTGCTTTTAGTCATCTTGTTTTGTTTTGCCATTTACCTTTTTGTATAATTTTTCTATTGCTCTCTGTTAGTCAAATTATTTTTGAAATGTCAAAAAATTTCTGTGCAGAAAATAAAAACCCTCAAAATAGAGTGCTAGGAGCTCAGGGGGTGGGGGACGAATATAGTCAAGTATTAAGACACAGCTAGGCCGGGCGCGGTGGCTCACACCTGTAATCCCAGCACTTTGGAAGGCCGAGGCGGGTGGATCACGAGGTCAGGAGATCAAGACCATCCTGGCTAACATGGTGAAACCCCATCTCTGCTAAAGGTACAAAAATTAGCCGGGCATGGTGGTGGCAGGCACCTGTAGTCCCAGCTACTTGGAGGCTGAGGCGGGAGAATGGCGTGAAGCCGGGAGGCAGAGCTTGCAGTGATCCGAGATCGTGCCACTGCACTCCAGCCTGGGCGACAGAGTGAGACTCCATCTCAAAAAAAAAAAAAAAAAAAAGACACAGCTCCCACTGCCGTCAAAAAACGTGGAGCTGGTGAGGTGGTTCATGCCTATAATCCCAGCACTTTCGGAAGCCAAGGCAGGAGGATCGCTTCAGCCCAGGAGTTGGAGACCAGCCTGGGCAACATAGTAAGACCTTGTCTCTAAAGAAAATTTTAAAAATTAGCTGGGCATGGTAGCACATGTCTGTAGTCCCAGCTACTCCAGAGGCTAAGGTAGGAGGATCACTTGGGCCTGGGAGTTTGAGGCTGCAGTGAGCTATGATTGCACCAACTGCATTCCAGCCTGGGCAACAGCACGAGACCCTGCCTCAAAAAAAAAAAAAAAGGCATGTGGACTGGCTCAGTGGGGTGGCCCGAGGTTCGGATGGGCTGTAGGGCAACACTGATCCATGGCTGCAGGAGTTGAGGAAGGGATGTAGTTGTGAGGATGGAAGTCAGAGCTTCCTTCAACGGGTGGCCCCACATGGCAGAGGAGCCCACTGTGGGCGTGACTTCCCTCCTCTCTGTCTCACTCAACCTTGGGTCTGTCAGTGTGATCTGCTGGGAGATTTCTAAGCTTCTAAGACAGCACCCTATAAGGGACCCAGGTGGGGAATAGACCGTGACCAGCCAGCGACCCCTACTACCCGTCACTCAAAAGCACTAGCACCTTCAGCCACTCCTCCTGGGGATGGGTCAGACTTAGTTTTTTAGAAAAGCAGAGTGTTAGGTTCTTAGCTTGGAAGAGGGCAGACAGGCCAGTCCTGATACCTGATGGGGCATACCATCTCCCCTGATTTTCTGGTCCTGTTAGAATTTTCCATCTGAGAATTGGGAGGGTATTGACCTCCGCTTGGTTTCCCCATGATGTGTGGGGATCAGACCCCTGGATAACGAAGGTGTTGTTGAGGGTGGGTAGGAGAGCCTCCCCTGAGTTCTCAGTACCCCTTTGCCTCTCGTGCCCACTGCAGAGGCAGCTTGCCAACTACAACTTTGACTTCCGGAGCTGGCCAGTCGACTTCCACTGGGAAGAACCCAGCAGCCGGTGAGGCCCCAGTTCTTTTGCTGTATCTCTCCCCTTAGAACCATTCCAGAAAATCTCTGCTCTGCCCTCCCACCTCCATGCCCTCTCAGGTCACAGTGCCTGCCTTCCAATGCCATTATGTCGTTCCTAGACCCCACTGTTCTCCAGACCTCAGACATCCAGCTTGCTGCTCCTGACCCTATCCTTCCCTGCATCTTTCCCTTCCTCAGGAAGGAGTCTCGAGGGGGCCCTTCCCGCCGGGGTGTGGCCCTGCTTCGCCCAGAGCCCCTGCACCGGGGGACAGCAGACACCCTCCTCAACCGGGTTAAGAAGCTGCCTTGTCAGATCACCAGGTGGGAAACAGCAGCGAGGAGAGGCCCACTGGGGTGGAGGGGCCATTTCAGGAGTGCTCTGGGAGTGGGCGCTCCATTGTAAAATAGCTGTCACTCATTGGGCCTAGTGCTGTATGGTTTGTGTAGATCATTTATGGCAAAGTCATTTTTATCCATATTTATGTTTGAAGAAAAGAGGCTCAGAGAGGTCTGGAGTCTCAAATGTAGTAAGTAAAGAACTGGGATATGAACAAAAGCTCCTTCAGTGAGGCTGAAAAGGAGCAGTGGGGGTGGGGTGGGGGTGGGGAGGACACACACTTGTAGCTAGGGCAGGCTCTGGTAGCATCTGTGTACCCATCGTGGCCCCTCTGCCCTGTTGTTATTCCACCTTGGCTCCGGGCCCCTGTGTGCCTCAGTGTCTGCACCTGTGATGAACCTGCCCTGCAAGGTTGCTGAGGAGATTAAGTAAGGTAACATGTTCTGAAGGGCTCCTGCCTTGCCTGGGTGCTTGAGAGCACATGGTAAATCCCAAATAAAGCTCAGTCGTGGGTACTGATGATGTCAGAAGGAACGGAAATAACCACCTATATCTTATAGTGGAACAGACACTGGGAATTTTCTTTTGCTGGGAGTTAGGAGGCAGCTTCTAGAATACCAAGGAACAGGGTGGACTTAGTGGTTGGTTGTTGACAGTGTGCTAATTAGTCAGGGAGGCAAGCCATATTTGAGGTTTTGAATTATAACCATCATTTTTTAAAGCATTATTTATTTGGGGACCTTTAATATGTTGTACTTATATTTTAACAGAATCATAATCTGATGATAACTTTGCATTTACTTATTATGTATAGACAGTTACATCATAAAACTCTCAGAATTCTGTACATACAGGATATGTGTGCACTGAGCCACAATATAAAATGTTTATCTTACAAAGGTTGCAGTAAGAAAAGTTTGCAAAACACTAGCCTGGTACATATTTCATTAAGGCTTGAAAGAGGAAAGTAAAGCTGTGAAGGTCAGGGGTAAAGCAGGCCTTACAGTCTGTGAGTGCTAGGGCTGGGATGGTCCCCAGCACAGTCCCCAGGCCTCAACAGGGTTGGGGTTTGTTAACCTGTGTTCCCCACAGCTACCTGGTGGCGCACACCCTAGGGCGCCGGATGCTGTATCCAGGCTCTGTGTACCTGCTGCAGAAGGCCCTCATGCCTGTGCTGCTGCAGGGCCAGGCCCGACTGGTGGAAGAGGTGAGGCTTCCCTGCCCGCACATCCCCTAAAGCCCTCCCCTCTCACCCCCACCCACCCCGCCCCACCCCTGTGATGTGGCCTCCTGACCCTTGCATCTTGGCCATTGCGTCTTCCGTACTCAGTGTAATGGGCGCCGGGCAAAGCTGCTGGCCTGTGATGGCAATGAGATTGACACCATGTTTGTGGACCGGCGGGGGACAGCTGAGCCCCAGGGACAGAAGCTGGTAAGAGGGAGCAGAGAGCCCAGAGGTGGGGTGAGTGTGAGGAAGGCAGTAGAGGTCTGGGGACCCCAATGCTATAGCACCTCCCTGAAGGAACCACTACTGGGGATAATCTCATGTCCTAGCTCCACGCTAAAGACCTTGTGATGTAGTGAAACCCTGTGATAGAGAAACAGATGAAGTAGGAGAGACGTTCAAGGACGAGAAACTAATATTAATAGTTACCACTTTGACAGCACTTCACACTTATATATATTTAATTCTCATATATATATGAAGCATATATATTTAATTCTCAAAAGAATCCCGTGAGATAGGTACTGCTTATATTAGCCCATTTTACAGGAGATGAAACTGGGGCACAGAAAACCTTTCCTGGACCTCACAGTAAGTGGTAGAGCTGGTATTTGGACCCAGGCAGCCTGGCCTCAAAGTCTCCTACCTCCATGAAGCAGCCGTGGAAAGAGCGCTAAGCCAGGAGTCTAGGGAGCTGGGTTCTAGTCCTGGCTCTGCCCATCTGTTATGAGAGTTCATGCAAATCCCACCATTCGTGGGTTTCAGCTTGGGGCGCCATGGCATTACAGTTTATCTGACCATAAGACTGGAGCTCAGAGAGGGATAGGGAGAGCAATCAGCATACCACACAATAGCAATGGTCACAGAAGATAACAGACCCGAAAACGAGAAAGGAAAAACATCTCCATAGTCCCCTTCCTGAAAGAGACCCAGCTGGTAATCTTCCAAGGAAAAGACATGGCTGGGTGGTCGAGCAGGTCAGCCTCTGAGGAGTATTTGTAATCCCTTTGCTTCTCCTCTTATGGACCCTGTGGAATGAGAAGCTTCCATTCCCCTTGGAGAAAACAGAAACCTGCCCTTTCCTCTTCCCTGCAAAGCTCTTCATGGGCTGCCCTCCCTGCCCAAAGGGAGTTTTTCAGTCCCAACTTGGCCCCCCAGCCCTTCCTTCCTGCCTCCTTCCTAGGTGATCTGCTGTGAGGGGAATGCTGGGTTTTATGAGGTGGGCTGCGTCTCCACGCCCCTGGAAGGTAGGACGGTGACTCAGCCTCCTTATCTCCGCCCTTTGAAAGGGAATGTCCCTGCCTCCCACACTGACCTGACCTCCCCTGGCCTCTGCTTTCTCTGGGTGAGGTTTTGAGTCTCTCAGCTTTAGGGAAAAGTCCACTCGCCATTTGCTTTGATAACCTTACATCCCTCCCCTGGCCTGTGTCCCTAGCTATTATGCTTTTCATTCTGTTCCATTCCCCCACCACACACCCCACACAATCACATGCTGCTCCCTGTGCTGCCTCAGAACCTCTGGTGTCATCTCCTATTTCTGGGAAGGCTTGGAGTTATTTGCATCTAAGCTGGGGGGTACTTCTGCTCTTCCTTCCCCCAGGGATGGAGAAAGGGCTGTGGGCCACAAGGTCTCAGTCCCTCCTCCCCCTGTGTTACAGCTGGATATTCAGTCCTGGGCTGGAATCATCCAGGCTTTGCTGGAAGCACGGTGAGACCATCTCAGGAATCCCTTCCTTTTCCTGAATTATGTCTGTTTCCCTCTGGTCAGCCATTGGAGGGAGGAGAGGGGCTGTGGATTTCTTGAAGGCGTCCCACTCACCTGAGGGCTGGGGTCTAGGAGGTTGTGAAGGCAGCATTGGGAGCCATGCCCCCATCCCCACAGTGCGGGGCTAGCAGGAGAGGAGGAGGTAGATCTCATTGTACACATCCGTCTTCTGGAGAGAACAACCTCTCCTACCATCCCTTCCTTCTACACCTTCTCTGCCTGTCATAGGTGGCTGCAGGAGGGGTCCACGTTGGGAGGGACAGGTGAGCTGGCCTTTGGTGCTGACACACTCCTGACTTTGCCCTTTCTCCTGCAGGGGGTGCCATTCCCGCAGAATGAGGCTAATGCCATGGATGTGGTGGTCCAGTTTGCCATCCACCGCCTAGGCTTCCAGCCCCAGGACATCATCATCTACGCCTGGTCCATCGGCGGCTTCACTGGTACCAGCCTCCCTCCCATCCCCCACTGTAGACACATTCATGACCACCCAGCCCCACCCGGGAGAGGTGGGGAAATGGGGTGGGGTGGAGGCTCAAGGAAGAAGAGAGAGGAAGTAGAATCTCTGAGTGGGCCTGGAAGAAGCTATCCTATTTGCATACACTTCACCTTTCCTTCCCCTCTTGTGCCCAGTCATTAAAAGGAAAAGCAGACCCAGGTCCTGGGTGGGGAGATCAGGGAAAGTGAATGTTTCCTGCCCATTATCTTCAGTGCACTATCTCCAGTGTTCTATCCCCATCCTCTCCAGATAGTTCCCTAACCAAGTGAAGTAGGTTAAGAAAAAAACAAGGGATAACATAGGGGGAATGGGGTTGGCCTATAGGGTCAGTGGGATGAGAGCATGGGTGGTGGGGAGAAAGGAGCCTTTCTCAGTTCTTACTCTTCTTCCCTGCCCTGGTACCAGCCACGTGGGCAGCCATGTCCTACCCAGATGTTAGTGCCATGATCCTGGATGCCTCCTTTGATGACCTGGTGCCCTTGGCCTTGAAGGTCATGCCAGACAGCTGGAGTGAGTGCAGCTCCCAGGCCTGCCCTTCCTGGGAAGGGGTGGGCTGGAACTGGGAACTGTTCTGAGATGGCTCCCTTTTCTTGGGTGGGGAGTAAGTCGCCCCATTGTTGGAAGCAGGAGGACTCCTTTGTCTGGGGGCCTCAGTTTTCTTTCTCCGTGAATAGTGAGGACCTTTATGTTGGGCAAGGGCTTTGTCTCTGCCATCCCTTCACCTTTATCCCACTCTAGGGGGCCTGGTGACCAGGACCGTGAGGCAGCATCTCAATCTAAACAACGCGGAGCAGCTGTGCAGGTGAGGGCCGGCCAGCGTCCGGCATTGAACACCTGCCCCCCATACAGCTCTGCTGGGCGCTCAAACCCTGAAACTAGTACTAAAGTGCAAGTTGGTAAAAGGCCACTGGCTCACATCCTGAGTGACCCTGCCACCACCTCAACTGGCCTAACCCCTCCCAGGTCCCCTGGGACTCTGGACCACCTCAGGATCTGGCAACCAAAGGGTTAAGGCCTGGCACGGCAGGGGTCTCCCAGCAGGGCCAGACTGAACCATGCCCCTTAAATAATCCCCTCTCACCCCTGAGTGAAGGGCTAGGTCAAGGGCTGTGCTATAGCAAGGGGAGGGTAAGAATGCTACCAGTGCAGGGATAGGGGTGGGCCAGTTGTCACCCGTCTCCCTCTGAGCTCTCCCTTCCCACTGCTCTGTTCTCTGAAGATACCAGGGTCCTGTACTGCTGATCCGGAGAACCAAGGATGAGATCATCACCACCACGTGAGTGCGTGGGAATCTCGGCCCTCAGGAACCCCAGAGATGGCCAGGAACTTGTCCCTTCTACCTCTGCCCACCAGAAACCTGGGTATCTAGACCCTTCCTCCTAACCTCCAGCCCCTCCAGGGTACATTCTTCTCACCCCCAGGGTTCCTGAGGACATCATGTCCAACCGAGGCAATGACCTCCTGCTGAAGCTCCTGCAGCATCGGTGAGAGCCAGGGTGTGTGCGCGCTGGGGGCAGTGTACACACACAGATACTGATACCAGCACAGGGAAGGAGGGAGGAAGGTTCAGGGATGGTGAATGAAAAAAAATCAGCCCTGACCTGTCCTGGCACTTCCTCCGTAGGTATCCCCGGGTGATGGCAGAGGAGGGTCTTCGAGTGGTGAGGCAGTGGTTGGAGGCCTCCTCACAGCTGGAGGAAGGTGAGAAGGGATCCAGTGAGGCTTGGGGCGGGGGCCCAGCAAGGTCAGGTTGCTGACTGGCTGTCATCTCTCTCCCTGACCAGCCTCAATTTATAGCCGATGGGAGGTGGAAGAGGACTGGTGTCTGTCTGTCCTCCGCTCCTACCAGGCAGAACACGGGCCCGACTTCCCCTGGAGCGTGGGTAAGGAGCTCCTGGGGCAGGAGAGAGGGTGGGAAGGGCCTAGGAAGGGGATGAATACCCAGATGTGTGGCCTATTTTGAGCGCCTCCTCTCTGCAGGGGAGGACATGAGTGCAGATGGACGGCGGCAGCTGGCTTTGTTTCTGGTGAGCTAAGGAGTGGGAAGTGGGAAGGGTTCTTGAATGGCCAGGGCTCACATAGGGGGACTGGGGATACCCTATAAGCATTGGAAGTGGCAGCTTTTGTAGAGTGGGTGGTGGATGCGGAAGTGGAGGGTGGGGAGGGAGTCCAGTGGCTGCCCCTCCCAACAGTGCTCTGTACCCCACCTGTCCCACCTCCTTTCCTCAGGCTCGGAAGCATCTGCACAACTTTGAGGCCACTCACTGCACCCCACTCCCAGCCCAGAACTTCCAGATGCCCTGGCACCTCTAGGGACCAACTGGGACTCATTATGGAAGAATGGGGTGAGAGGAGACATGAGGAAAGACCCTCTTATTTGTGATTCTCTGTGTTCATGTTGCTGTTTATAGTTTGTGGAAAGTGGGGGACCATCCCCCTTCTCACCACTGTTCCTCTTGCACGTTTCCCCTCATTCATGTGGCTGTACTTAACCTTCTCCAACATACATCCTGCATTACATGAATGGATTATTCCTAATAATTAATAAAAAGGTATTTTTTCTACTATCAGGCTAATTGTATAACTTCTCAAGTGTCCAGGGAGCCAGGGGCAGGTAGTGGGGAGAGCAGAGGCCCCAAAGAGCTGGGCTTTGGGAAACCCTAACTCTAGACAATCTAGCTAATCTAACCCTTCCCATCTCTGTGTCCCCCTAGGCCTTCAGCCCCTAACCTGAGCTTTCCTCAGGCAGCAGGTCCCCAAACCTCCCCGGTCCCTGATGTGCCTACTGTTATCACAACTGTGCAGCCTCCCTGGCCCCTCCCGCCTCCTTCTTCAGTTCTTCCTGCATACAACCACCCCAGGAGCCCATGGTTGCCCCCTCCTGCTTACGGCTCATGAGCTTTCTAGGATCCGATTTCACCTACCCAGTGCTTCTGCTGGTTTCCAGGTTCAACCTGCATGGTGTTACTAGCAGTACCCCCAATTTTCATTGCTCACCTCTTGTTATCTTGGTGAAGAGTGAGGAAGGGCCTGCTCCCCACGTCTTATGCAGCAAACCCTGCACACCCACCTTGCCATGTCATCAAGTCTCTGTCCTCACAGCCTTTTTGCAGTTCAACAAACACAGGCCCTGCCAGGGACGGAGGGCCAGGTGCCAAGGACTCATGTCTTCTCAGAGCCATACTTTGCCTTTTGGACGGCTCTGTTAGGAGAAGATGCTTAGGTTGTACCTGAGGAAATTGGTTCCCTATAACTGCCATCTATCTCTAACTTTGGACCTTGTGGAACACAGTGAATAAATCCCTCTTCCACCCATTGGTTTGTTGCCTGGCAGTTTTTTTTATTTTTTTGGAGATGGAGTCTTACTATGTTGCCCAGGCTGGAGTGCAGTGGCACAATCTGAGCTTGCTGCAACCTCCACCTCCCAGGTTCAAGTGATCCTCCAGCCTCAGCCCCTCTAGTAGCTGGGATTACAGGTATGCGCCACCATACCCAGTTGATTTTTGTATTTTTAGTGAAGATGAGGTTTCGCCATGTTGGCCAAGTTGGTCTCGAACTCCTGACCTCAGGTGATCCAACCGCCTTGGCTTCCCAAAGTGTTGGGGATTAAAGGTGTGAGCCACTGCGCCTGGCCGCTGGCCACTTTCTTCATTTGGAAACTTCTCTTTTCCAGATGAAAGACCCCAAAGTTTATCGCCCTGAGTCCATTTTTGTTTTGTTTTATTTTGTTGGGGATGGTTTTTTGTTTGTTTTTTGAGATGGATTCTCACTCTGTCGCCTAGGCTGGAGTGCAGTGGCACGATCTCAGCTCATTGCAACCTCTGCCTCCCAAGTTCAAGCGATTCTCCTGTCTCAGCCTCCCAAGTAGCTGGGATTACAGGTGTGTGCCACTACACACAGCTGATTTTTCGTATTTTAGTAGAGACAGGTTTCACCATGTTGCCCAGGCTGGTCTCAAACTCCTGAGCTCAGGCAATCCACCCACCTCAGCCGACTCCATTCTTTTTTTTTTTTTTTTTTTGAGACGGAGTCTCGCTCTGTCACCCAGGCTGGAGTGCAGTGGCACAATCTCGGCTCACTGCAAGCTCCGCCTCCTGGGTTCACGCCATTCTCCTGCCTCAGCCTCCCTAGTACCTGGGACTACAGGCGCCTGCCACCACGCCTGGCTAATTTTTTGTATTCTTAGTAGAGACGGGGTTTCACTGTGTTAGCCAGGATGGTCTCGATCTCCTGACCTCGTGATCCACCCGCCTCTGCCTCCCAAAGTGCTGGGATTACAGGCGTGAGCCACCGCGCCCGGCCAACTCCATTCTTTTGAGCAAGATACTTAACGTGGGCGACAATGTTCTAATGTCCTAGATGGAGTCTCTGGCTAAATTTCTGTGTCTTCTCCAAACCCAGTGCATGAAGCTCTTCTTGAAACCCCAGGGCAGAGGCTGTGTGTGCCCCCATTAGCGCTGCAACTCCTTAAGGGAAGATATACTGAGTCTCCACTGGAAGTGGAGATCTGAGACTTAATCAGGTGATGTGATGCCTGAAATTTGGAGTTAGAAGAGGCAGGTGACCACAGCTCCATAATGCTCCACCGTTAGCAAACAGGTGGATAGCTGATACTGGTGCCCTCTCCTCTATCCCATTCCAGGGGGGCAAACGATGGGAAGTGTGGAACATGAAGCTCTGGAGCCAGCTGCACAGTTCTGAATCCCATCCTCCCAGATCCAACAGAAGAGTTAATCCCCTGAAAACTAAATTTTTGTTCAGCTAAGGGAAGCTCCTTAAATGCAAAGAGGAGCTGGGCATGGTGGCTCACATCTGTAATCCCAGCACTTTGGGAGGCTGGGGCAGGAGGATCACTTGAGCCTAGAAGTTCAAGACTGGACAGGGCAACATAGGGAGACTCCATCAGTACAAAAAATTTAAAAATTACCCAGGCATGGTGGCATGCACCCGTGTTCCAAGCTACTCTGGAGGCTGAGGTAAGAGGATCGCTTGGCTGAGGATCACGGTAGGTTGAGGCTGCAGTGAGCTGTGATCGTGCCACCGGACTCCAGCTTGGGTGACAGAGTGAGACTCTGTCTCAAAAAAAAAAAAAAAAAGCAAATAGGGGTGCCCAGTCTCACCTCCCATACCCTGGGGACAAAGGACACCCCTCCCTGGACATGGCCATTAGGGACTCTGCTGAACTGCCCCTACTGCCACTTTCCCCCATCTTACTGCATGTAATTGTAGACAACAGTGGATGACCTGAGGGGCCCTTAGATACCTGAAATTGGGTAGGGAAAGAAAGGTAGGCTCAACATGTGAATTCTGAACCCCCCCATCCAGGGGCCTCAGCCTACTTCAGATTACTCCCTATGCAATAAGGTTCAGAGCAGCTGTGTTTGTTTTCAGAACTAATCCCCACCCAGGGGTGGAAGCAGGCCCCTGTCCACTCCTCACCCTATATAGCAAAGTTCCAGCAGTTCCAGGGGATGATCAGCAGAGATGCAGACCTTCCCAGTTGCTGGGGCGCTGGACCCTGCTATACTGGACACAAGGTGAGGCCTGAAAGTCCAGGCACCCTGAGGAGCTGGGCAAACTAGCAGAAAAGATGGCGCTGGGAGAAAGGAAAGTTAGACTCTGGACGGGAAATCTGGAAAGAAGTGGTTCCCAGCTGGGCCAAAAAGCCTCATCCTACGCCGTCTCATCGACCTGGGCTCCACCCTGAGTGCCTCCAGTGTGAGGTGCTGGACTGGCTCTGTGCTGCCTGTTTGGGTTGAGGGTTTGCTCCTAGGAGAGGCATGTATTTCTCGTACAGCTGTCACAAGCGAGTGAGGGCTCCGGAGGTGGAGGGCCCAAGAGGGTGGGGAGCTCAGGCGTCAGTGATAGCCAGATTTCCATCCATCGGTCCGTCCGTCCGTCCATCCATCCATCCATCTATCCAATCAACAAGCCATTCCGGATTCTTCAGGAATCCAGTCATTCATTTATATTTAGGTTAAAGACCCTCTCTCTGGTTCCTCTCTAGAACGCAATCTCGAGCCGCTCCCCCAACAAACCGTGGCCCTCTCCCGACCGGGTCATCTACAGCCCCGCCCCTCGTTTGCCTGGCTCCATTCCCCTAACCTTGGCGTTCTGTCCTCAGGCCCCGCCTTCTTTGTTTCGTCACTCGGTTGCTTACCCTCAGGTATCCCTTAACTCTAGGTAGGAGCACTCAGAAGGGACACCGTCATCTGCTGCTGTCGCCATGGCGATTATTCAACGCCCTGCCTCTTCACCCCAGGAAAACCTTCGCGGAACCCGTCACCATGGAAACGAACTCTCTGGACTCTTAGCGCGCCCTGGGCTGGCCCTGCTGGGTGGACAGGAGAGGAGCAAAACGCAACAAAGACGGGATTAATTACTCGGAGGCCGCGCCCCCTCCGAAGAAGGCCCCACCCTGCCCCGGCCTCACCCCTCCCCGAAATAATTCGAGGAAATATTCCGCGAATGCTGGGTGGGTGTCTTGCCCCCCGGTTCCCTCAAGGCCCACGGTCGCTTGAATTCCACAGCAAGTCCTCCCGGACCTCTCAGGGCAATCCCCTCCCGAAGCCCAGCCTCAGCCTCGCAAAGCCTCTAGTCGTTGGCCTTTTCGTTGCGATTATATTCGAGAGGGAGCTTCAGAGGGCGCCGCGAAGTTCCCCTGTGCTTCCCCTTTGCCCTTTGCCCTCTTCGCTTCAAGAGGAGCCCCTGGCTCTCTTTTTTTTTTTTTTTTTTTTTTTTTGAGACGGAGTCTTGCTCTGTCGCCAAGCTGGAGTGCAGTGGCGCGATCTCGGCTCACTGCAACCTCCGTCTCCCGGGTTCAAGCGATTCTCCTGCCTCAGCCTCCTGAGTAGCTGGGACTACAGGCAGGCGCCACCACTCCTGGCTAATTTTTGTATGTTTAGTAGAGACGGGGTTTCACCATATTGTCCAGGATGGTCTCGATCTCTTAACCTTGTGATCCGCCCAGCTCGGCCTCCCAAAGTGCTGGGATTACAGGCGTGAGCCACGGAGCCCGGCCCTCTGATTCTTTTTGTCTATCACTCTGTGCACTCATTCATTCAAGACATTTATGTAGGTGCCCCGCGTTCCTCTGCAGTTCTCCACTACTCTGGCTTTTCTCTAATACAATTTATTTTGTGTTATTATTTCTTTAAGACAGAGTCTCACTCTGTCGCCCAGGCTGGAGTGCAGTGGTGCGATCTCGGCTCACTGCAACCTCTGCCTCCCAGGTTCAAGAGATTCTCCTGCCTCAGCCTCCCGAGTAGCCAGGACTACAGGCGTGCGCCACCACACCTGGCTAATGTTTTTGTATTTTTTGATAGAGACGGGGTTTCACCATGTTGCTCAGGCTGGTTGCGAACTCCTGACCTCGAATGATCCCCCACCTTGGCCTCCCAAAGTGCTGGGATTACAGGCATGAGCCGCCACGCCCGGCTAATTTTTGGTATTTGTAGTAGAAACGGGGTTTCACCATGTTAGCCAGGCTGGGTGCGAACTCCTGACCTCAGGTAGTCCACCCGCCTTGGCCTCCCAAAGTGCTGGGATTACAGGCGTGAGCCACCGCAGTCCGGCCCTAATATAGTTTTTAAATTCATTCATTCCAAGGCTTTTGGGAGGCGCTCAGTGGCGTGCAGTTTCCTCTCGAATTTCTTTCTTCCCGCAGTCTTTCTGGGCGGGCGTCTCCCGTCTGTTTCTTCCCATCTTCCCCCTTATCATCCTGGGACTGGATAATTCTTGAATAGTCTGGGAGGTAGCAGGGAACCCGAGTTCGGAGCCTCGACCAGAACCTCCAGACGGGAAATTGGAGCAGGTGGTGTCGTTCCAGGACGCTGAGGACCACCTCCTCCCCTAACGCACAGCCCAACGATCCTAAAAGTAAAAACCCTGAGTTTCTGAGTCAAGACTGAGCTGGTGGGGTGGGGACCGAGTAGGCGTGGATGGGGAGCCCAGCGGGTCCCCAGCGGAGAAAATGGGTGAGACGCCTGGGGCCGCGGTCTCCAGAATTCGCCTGGGAGGGAGAGTGGCGCTACGGCGCCGCCTTCCTGGGGAGCCGCTTCGGGCTCCGGATGTCCGCTGGGGCCCGACGCTTGGGTCCCGACGCGCGGTTCGCACTTTCCAGGTTTCTTCCCCAGGGAACAGAGCTTGAGCGGGGGGCCACCCCCCCGTCCTACCGGAGTTCTGAGGTGCGGTCAGGCGCGGAGAGCGGACGCCCAGCGCCAGATTCTGTGGGCTCCGGAGTTCAGGCCCACTGAGCCGCAGCTGAGCACAGGCGGGGCAGGAAAAAGGATGAGGTGAGGGAAGGCGCTGGGTTCCTGGAACCCCAAGGGAGCACTGAGCTGAGTACGTATCGCTTGGGATCCAGGTGTCCTTGTTTTAGGATGTCTGACAGGTGTCCCCAGGGTATGAGAAGTGGGACTGGGCACCCCCTATTTGCTTTTTTTTTTTTTTTTTTGAGACAGACCACATGTTTCCTATCTTGGAAAATGGTACCACTTCCTTGTGCAAGCCTACCCCTGTTCCCTCACCCCTCGTTCAGTCCAACAGCAAATCTGTCCAGTCTTCTAACTGTATCTCAGGTTCATTAGCCCCGCTTCCTCGTCCCTGCTCGTCTTCTGCCGGACCAGTCCGCCATCTTGTGACCGGACTCGGGAATAGCGTCCTACTTCCCGGCGGCCTCCACTCTTGACCCAAATGCAATGTGCAGCCATGGCAATCTTTTATAAACAGAAATCCGATCAAGTTACTCCTCTGCCGAAATCCCTCTGGTCAGTGGTTTAACTGTCGAGGTGCTCCTGGCAGCACTCTGCCCTCCCCACATCATTGCTGGTGGACTTGTCTCCCCTACTAGACTGTGCCCTGTGAGGGTGGAGACTTTGTGCAGGGTTGTATCCCCAGCATCTGATGCAGTGATTCAATAAACATCTGTCCAATTAATAGGAAAGACAGTTCCTTTTCTCATTCCCCTATTGCTGGTCCCCTGCCCTCAAGCAGGATGTTATGCCCCAGAGTGGCTGTGGGTGCGAACATTCTGCCCCTCTGGCTGGTCTGGCACTGATTTCCACCCTGAGCTGGTGTTGCCTCTCTCCTTCCTCTTGGCCAACCTCTCTTCCACCAATATAAGCCCAAACTGGAGGCCAGCAGGCAGTCATGCGTTTTATGGCAGGCCCTGCAGGGAGCCAGAGTCTGGGTCCCCTGTGCTTCCACAGCAGCCCCCAAGCCCTCTACACGGTCCTCTTAATAGTGCTGGTCATGATGAGCTTGGTGTTTGGTAAGTGGCTCCAAGGGTTCAGAAGGGTCTCCTGGCCTGGATGGAGAAACCCACAGACACCAAGTGTCTGGGTACACCTGTCCAGGATGCTCAGGTAAACCCATGCAGGAGGAGAGATGGGACAGATGGGTTTGGTAGGGAATGCCTGCTCATGGACTGATGTGCAATCTGAAGATTTTTAAAAATTTATTATTATTATTATTTTTGAGATGGAGTCTCGCTCTGTATCCCAGGCCGGAGTGCAGTGGCGAGATCTCGGCTCACTGCAACCTCCACCTCCCGGGTTCAAGCGATTCTCATGCCTCAGCCTCCCGAATAACTGGGATTACAGGCATAAGCCACCAAGCCCAGCTAATTTTTGTATATTTAGTAGAGACGGGGTTTCACCATGTTGGCCAGGCTGGTCTCGAACTCCTGACCTCAGGTACCTGCCCGCCTTGGCCTCCCAAAGTGCTGGGATTACAGGCGTGAGCCACCGCACCCAGCCTCTGAAGGAGATTTCTAGTGACCACCCCAGGGCTGTCTCACTTCACAGCAGTGACCTGAATAGAGATACTGAAGGAATCCTCTCTGGATCTGAGGGCAACATAGAATAGGGAGGGTTAGGGAGTGTGCTGGATGAGAAAACCAGAATCCACAGGATAGAACAAGACTGAGTCCAGCCTGCTGGGCTCCCCACTTGGCTGCAAAGCACCAGCCACAGAGACACAGGATTCAAAGTGTTGGTTTAGCACTTTCCTCTGCCTAACACCAAGTGCTCTGCTGGGTCTGGGGATTTGTTAACATGTGGTCTGGCCTTAGGACCAGAGGAAAAGGGGGATGTATGTGTATGCAGTTGGGGAAGGAAGCAGAGAATTGGGGCTTTGATGGTTTTCTGAGACAGGAAGGGAGGGAGGAGTGGGGCTGAGTGGCCTGGAATCAGGCAGTGGTAGGGTGTGAGGTAGAATGGGGTGTGAGTGGGGTCAGCACTTCTCTGTGTTCTAGGTAAGTTTGTTCCTGTCAATTGGGAACCCCCTCAACCACTTCCATTCCCCAAATACCTGCGCTGCTACCGATGCCTCTTGGAGACCAAGGAGTTAGGGTGCCTTCTGGGATCTGACATCTGCCTCACCCCAGCTGGCAGCAGCTGCATCACTCTCCACAAAAAGAACAGTAAGTGGCCTTCTCCTGTCATGGGCCCAGCACTCTCCCAAACGGAAACTCTCTCAGCCTCCTAAGCTGCACCCCAAGTCTTGTTCCCATAATCCCATAAGACATTGCTCCAATCCTGTCTTTTTTTTTTTTGCTGCTCTGTCACCCAGGCTGGAGTGCAGTGGCGCAATCTTGGCTCACTGCAACCTCCACCTCCCCAGTTCAAGCAATTCTTGTGCCTCAGTCTCCCAAGCAGCTGGGATTAAAGGTGCACGCCACCACGCCCAGCTAATTTTTTGTATTTTTAGTAGAGATGGGGATTCACCATGTTGGCCAGGCTGGTCTCGAACTCCTGACCTCAGGTGATCCACCCACCTTAGCTTCCCAGAGTGCTGGGATTACAGGCGTGAGCCACCGTGCCCAGCCTCTCTTCCCTTTTCTTCAGAGCCACACTCTGTCTCCACTTCCACTAACCTTCTCTCCTCAATCTGTAGCTGAATAGCTTCTACCCTATCAAGGTGCGCAGCTTTGACGGGGACCCTCCAGATCTCCAGGTGCCCTTGCCTGTCCTCAAGCTGTCTGCTTCCGCATCTGTCTGCAGTTACTGCTGGTGTTGCTCTTCTCCTGCATCCTCCACGGCTTCTTCAGTCTCCTTCATGGAGCGTTTTCTCTCTGACCCTTAGTGGTTCATGTTCACCAAGGTTTGGTCCTTAGCTGTCTTCCCACTTCATATACTCAAAAGCAGAGGATTTTATCTGCTTTGCTGGCTTCAACCAGCAGCCACATACCACTTCCTTCTGAATCTGAATGTTATGTCAAACCGCTCTCCTCATATCCCGTTGACCACTGGACATCTCCCTCGCTGAAAATTGACTCCTTCCCGATGCCTGCTCTTCCACCGACCCCCCACCTTTCTTAAGTTAGCAAAAACGTAACACATAATATGTGCTAGGCACTGTTCTAAACACTTGCAATCCGCTGAGGCAGGTATTATTACTATGTGCATTTTACAGATGAGGAAACAGGTGCAGAAAGGTCATAACCTTGCCTGAGTCTCACAGATGCTGAGCCAGAATTTGTGATGGCTCCAGAGATGGTGCTCTCAACAACCACTGCATGCAGCTGCCTGTGTTCAAGTCCTCTTACTACCCTTTTAACATAGCCGATGCACAGATGTGGGTCAAATATCAGAGTATACAATACCATCAAACCAAAGTCTCCCGCTACTACCCTAACCCACCTGGCTCCCCTGCACATGTGACCACTTTTTTTACTTTCTGGATGATCCCTCCTGCAATCTTTTATGCACATTCCACCCTGCACAAATATGCTGTTTACTATTTTTTCACCTCTTCCCCCGCCCCAACCCAAGATAGTAGCATCCCACTGTAAACATTATTCCACATTTAAGTTAGGGGAACTGAATGTTCCGATATCAGTTTGTAAACAGCTTCCTTGTTTTATTGACCTGCTGTATACTACTCCATAGCATGCGCATATCACAGCTGATTTCCCCATCCCACTATTGATGGGCATTTTGGTCATTTCTCTCAAGCAGGGCAGCAGCAAACATCCCTGAACATGACTTCTTGGGATGCAGGCACAAAGATTTTTCTCTATTATGTATAACAGCAGCAGACATCATCTTATTCTCTTTTGGTCTGAAAAATAAATAACAATACACCTCCTTCCTGCCACCCAATCTCCAAAACATTTCCCAGCTTTTTCTCACATGGTCCTATGGTGCTAGTTCTCCTCACTTGGCTCAGTAACTCCCAACTCCCCCTCCAACCATTACATTTCATATGGCTCTTTTCCTCCAGCCTTGCATGGGAACTTCAGTGGAGTTCCATGGCTGGTGAACACTGGGCATGTCCACCCATGCCTAACTACAGGAATCTTTTCTTTTTCTTTTTTTTTTGACTTATGAGTGTGGGGATGAGAGGATTTGGGGCTCTTCCTGGGGACTTCCGTATCACTGGTGCCCACTGTCCCTCCCCAGGCAGCGGTTCTGACGTCATGGTGAGTGACTGCCGAAGTAAGGAGCAGATGAGTGATTGTTCAAATACCCGAACTTCTCCGGTGTCTGGCTTCTGGATATTCTCTCAATACTGCTTCCTGGATTTCTGCAATGACCCTCAAAACAGAGGGCTCTATACTCCTTAGTGTGACTGCAGCAAACTTTGGTGTAAAATTCCACCAGTTTCCAGCCACCTTCCTGACTTCTATCTGGGCTTGGCCAGGACTTCTAGTCCCTCATACCAGCCCTCCTTGCCTCCCTCCAGCCACTGGACCCCAGCCTTGGCTCTTCCTCTTGGTTGACGCCCTTCAGCACACTTACTGCTACTCTGTACCCCCAGCCCTACTGCCCACCAGGTTTCCTCTCTTGTCCCCTAGTCCCTGGATGTTTCTCCCAAATAAATTTGTGTGTAAACTGTTTGGTATGTCTCTTTCTTCTGGTGGAGGTGAAGGCTGAGGGAGGTGCACCTGCCTAACTGCCCTACCATGGGTCAGGTAAGGGACCCCCAGCTCTGCTGAGCTGTCCTCTTGTCCTGCCTTGGTATGTGATTTGCTCTAGACACAAAAAGAGAAAGAGGAAATGAAAGCCCTCCTATGGTGAATGCCAGAAAGTTAGTGGGCATCCTCGGCAGTGCTGTCAGACCAGAGCTGTGTGGGGGCTAGGGGCGTTTAGAGGGCTATGTTGGTGGGAAGGGGGCTGCGAAAGGACCAGGCCCAGGTAGAAGGAGGTGGGTGAGAAGGCCACTCTTTTTTTGAGACAGTCTCACTGTCACCTAGGCTGGAGTGCAGTGGTGTGATCTTGGCTCATTGCAACTTCTGCCTCCCAGGTTCAAGTGATTCTTCTGCCTCAGCCTCCCGAGTAGCTGGGATTACAAGCACATGCCACCACACCTGGCTAATTTTTATATTTTATTAGTAGAGACGGGGTTTCACCAGTTGGCCAGGCTGGTCTCGAACTCCTGACTTCAAGTGATCTGCCTGCGTTGGCCTCCCAAAGGGCTGGGATTACAGGCGTGAGTCACCCCGAGCCGAGAAGGCCACTCTCAAAGAGATGTTAGACCTTATTGGAGTCCTGGTCTCTTCAATTCTGGGCCAAGTTCTTCAGCCTCTGAGGGTGTCTTCCAGGTTGACCTGCTATAAACCTGGGCCTTTCTCTGTCTTATACTGACGTCAGAGGTCATGGAGAAGGGTGGACTTAGCAAGGTGGGGGTTGGGGGGCACATTAAGGGTTTGTACCTCTCTTTGTACGCCAACTGCCTCATGACTTAATTATCATTGGTTTGGTATTTTCCGTCAGAGTACAGGCCACACAGATTTGTTAACACGTGTGCAAAACACTATATAGGTAAAAGCAGATGCGTACGATGCCATTTCCATCAAGCACAGACAGAACTCATCTAAGCTACTACCAGTCAGGACAGCGGCTACCCCAGAGCTGGGAAGAGCACCTGGGAGAGGGGAACAGAGGCAGGCTTGGCTGCAGGTAAAGGTCTTCACGCTGATTTGGTGGCTGGTTACACAGATGTGTGGTTTACAAAAATCCATCTTGTGATATGTGCAAGCTTCTGAATGTTTTACCAAAAAGGTTTGAAAATAAGTAAATCAGCCAGGTGAGCATGGTGGTGTGCATCTGTAGTCCCAGCTACTTGGAGGCTGAGGCAGAAGAATCTCTTGAGCCCAGGAGTTCAAGGCCAGCTTGGGCAACATAGTAAGAACCTTAGAAAAAAAAGCTGAACATTGTGTATGCATTTGACTCTAGGGCAAATATATTTTTTTGAGGGGGAAAAGGCCTTAACTTCTACTTGTGTATGCACATTTACATGTGTTTTCTCAATCATCTGAGGCACTATCCCTACTTGACAGGTGACCAAGGTGGGGCTGAAGAGACTGACATATCCAAGTGGTAGAGGGGCTGGGATTGGACCTCCCAGCCACAAAGCTGCACTGCTTTTCAGAAAAAGGTTTCATAACCCAAGCACTGGGCTGCAAGACTTGGAAGGGCAGACACCTGGCTATACTCATCTGGGAGTCCTGCTGCTCAATACCAAGCCTGACTCAGAGCAGCGTTATGTCCAGCATGTTTATCCAGTGTATGGAAAAGGCTGTTGTATCCATCCTTGCTTTCTATACGTTTGCACTATTTCAAAATTAAAATATTAGCATGAAGATCCAACCACTGCAGCCCAACATCAGTGCTCTCAGCACTTTGCCCCTCAAATTGGGCCCCTCGAGAGGGCATCCTGGATGCCAGAATCCTTGAAAAGAACTAAGGAATGGCAGGAGTCCAGGGCCCCAGCAGCAGGTAACTCTGGCATGTGGCTCTGAGTTCCTGAGTCTTTCTGGTTTAAAGAGAAAGTTTCTTTTTTTTTTTTTTTGGAGACAGTCTCGGTCTGTCACCCAGGCTGGAGTACAGTGGCACGATCTCGGCTCACTGCAAACTCTGCCTCCCAGGTTCAAGCGATTCTCCTGCCTCAGCCTCCTGAGTAGCTGGGATCACAGACACGTGCCACCATGCCCAACTAATTTTTTTTTTTTTTTTTTTAGTAGAGATGGGCTTTCACCATGTTGGTCAGGCTGGTGTCGAACTCCTGACCTCATGATCCGCCTGCTTCGGCCTCCCAAAGTGCTGGGATTACAGGCAAGCCACCGCGCCCAGGCTTTTTTTTTTTTTTTTAAGACAGAGTTTCGCTCTTGTTGCCCTGTCTGGAGTGCAATGGCGTGATCTCAGCTCACTGCAACCTACACCTCCCCGGTTCAAGCAATTCTCCTGCCTCAGCCTCCCAAGTAGCTGGGATTACAAGCATGAGCCACCATGCCCAGCTAATTTTTCATATTTAGTAGAGACAAGATTTCACCATGTTGGTCAGGCTGGTCTCAAACCCGACCTCAGGTGATCCACCCACCTCGGCCTCCCAAAGTTCAGGGATTACAAGCATGAGCCACCGCACCTGGCCTAAAGTTTCTTTTCTTAGGTGAAAAGACCTGGCATCATCAGGGTCTAACTTTCCAGGTTTTGTAGGGTATGTTTAAGGCTGGGAAGAATCACAGTCCCCATGCTTTGATCTCCAGCTAAGCAGAGGGTGGGGAGGGATGTGTGCCCTTTACAGGAGGCCGAGAGGAAGCGACAAACGCCAAGTGCAATGGAGAGGGCTCTGCAATCCTATTTGGATCCCAAACCTCACTAACCCTTTTTTTTTTTTTTTTTTTTGAGACACAGTTTCACTCTTGTTGCCCAGGCTGGAGTGCAATGGTGCAATCTCGGCTCATCGCCACCTCCACCTTCCAGGTTCAAGTGATTCTCCGGCCTCAGCCTCCCGAGTAGCTGTAATTACAGGTATGCGCTACCAAGCCCGGCTAATTTTGTATTTTTAGTAGCGATGGGGTTTCTCCATATTGGTCAGGCTGGTCTCAAACTCCCAATCTCAGGTGATCCGCCTGCCTCAGCCTCCCAAAGTGCTGGGATTACAGGCGTGAGCCACTGCGCCAGGCATTAACCCTCTTTAATCTGTGTTTACCTGCCCACACCTGAGCCTGACCCCACAAACAATGTGACACAGTTTTAGCCCAGTCCCAGTTTATTGTGGAGGAAAATGGGGGACATGGAGCTGAGCAGAACAGACCCTTCCCTCTCCTCTCACAGGCCCCTAGGGAGATGGGTGTCAGGACTCAGTGAAGTGAAATGGGGCCGAGGAAGCCAGAGACTGACAAGAGAGCAAGAGAGGACAGGAGGCAGAACAACACTAGGACAGGCGGGGGTTGGTGGAGACAGTGAGGCAGGGACACAAAATTGCCAAGTCAGGACATCTGCACAGAATTCTATTCCTCATCCTTTTTTTTGGAGACGGAGTCTCACTGTGTCACCCAGGCTGGAGTGCAGTGGCGCGATCTCGGCTCACTGCAACCTCTGCCTCCCGGGTTCAAGTGATTCTCCTGTCTCAGCCTCCTGAGTAGCTGGGATTACAGAGGTGTGCCACCACACCCAGCTGATTTTTCTATTTTTAATAGAGAGCGGGTTTTACCATGTTGGCCAGGCTGGTCTCAAACTCCCAATCTCAAGTGATCCGCCCACCTCGGCCTCCCAAAGTGCTGGGATTACCGGCGTGAGCCACCATGCCCGGCCTCCTCGTCCTTCTTGCTGCTAGTTCAGTCTGGTACTGGGTCTTAGAGACATGGACAAGACAGGGGAAACAGAGCTAGATGTCAATAGGCAGGTGACTGGATTGAGAGGGATGGGGGATACTGGAACACTCAGATGATGGGGAAGGAATGGAGGAACCACTGTGCCTTTCTCAGGTCAGCCTGTCTGGGCAGAATCCACACTAGAGATTCTTTTCTAGGGGGAAGAACAGCACCAGAGCTCAGACAGGCACAGTGGCTCACACCTGTAATCCCGGCACTTTGGGAGGTCGAGGAGGGCAGATTACGAGGTCAGGAGTTCGAGACCAGCCTGACCAACATGGTGAAACCCCGTCTCTACTAAAAATACAAAAAATTAGCCAGGCGTGGTGGTGCACGCCTGTAGTCCCAGCTACTCGGGAGGCTGAGGCAGGAGAATCGCTGGAACCCGGGAGGTGGAGGTTGTAGTGAGCAGAGATCATGCCACTGCACTCCACCCTGGGTGACAGAGCGAGACTTTGTCTCAAACAAACAAAAAAACAGCACCAGAGTTCAAGAGAGAAAATTACACAAAAGTCATATAGATGCTAGTGGTACAACAGACGGAGGCCTAAGAAATCACAGTGACCAAAGAATGTGGGTGTTTTCAGAGAGGGCAGTGCAGGATGCTGAGGGTGTTACAGAAAGATATTTGCACTGTGGAATTCAGGAAGGGTGAGGTGTCAAGAGTCCAGCCTGGGGAAGAACCAAAAGTCCTGAACTATTGAGGAACAAGTACATGCGGCGCAGCTCAGCAAAAGACAAGCCCAGGTTCAGGGACAGTGTGACCATGGGGTCCAGGCCATCAGGCTCCGTCCCAGCATGGAAATTGGGGAGGGGCAGGGAGAGGTTCAGGGCCTGGTAGAACCACTGAATCTGGGAGTCAGACAGAGGCAGGGCCAGGGGCCTGTCATGGGGCTCCGGCAGAGAGCTCTGGAGTTGGGGGCTTGACCAGGAGTTGCAATAATCGTACTGACAGCACTGGGCCTGATACCAGTACTCTGCAAAGTAGGTGTTGCGTTTTTCTTGGCAGCGGTAGGAAATGTACTGTCCACAGCCTCGAACGATGAAGCGAACCTTGACATCTGAGGGAGAGGGGAAAGCTGATAACCCCTTCCAATAGCTTCCCATAGTCCAAGAACCCCTGCTACTGACTTTTCCCATCCTTCACCCAGACCTAATTTACTTCTAACCCAGAGTCCTTCAAGAGGCTAGAAAAGTGAGCTCTGCTGGCCCCCTAGAACCTTAGACCCCTCCTTCCAAGATTCTTCTGGTTTTTTTTGAGACAGGGTCTAGCTCTGTTACCCAGGCTGGAGCATGGTGGCGCAATCTTGGCTCACTGCAACCTATGCCTCCTGAGTTTAAGAGATCTCCCACCTCAGCCTCCCGAGTAGCTGGGACTACAGGTGCATACCACCATGCCTGGCTATTTTTTTGTAGAGACAGGGTCTCACTATGTTGCCTAGGCTGGTCTTGAACTCTAGAGCTTAAGTGATCCACCTGCCTCAGCCTCCCAAAGTGCTAGGGTTACAGGCATGAGCCATTGCACTCAGCCCCTCCTCTCTTCTTGTACCCCATGCCCGGAGCAGCCCTGATCTGTGAGAGGAGAGAAGACCAAGCCATTGGCTGCCCCACCAGCAGCCCCTTCCTGGGACCTTATTTACCATAATAGATGGTGATCACCATGCACAGGGATGAGCTGCTGATGGTACACTTCTCTGAGCCTGAAATGCATCCTACAGAAGGGTCTTCTACGAGGCAGAAGTGGCACGTCCGGATGTCGGGAACAGGAACTGGGGAGGCAGAAGGAGGGATGGAGGCACTGGGTCACTCTCAAATACCCTGGGCCAGTAGGAAGCCCGATTATCCATGGCCACGCTCCACCCCCTTCCTGGACTCAGTTACCCCTTCCTCCCTCCCTGCCCCTGGGCCCCACTTACCCTTTCCTACTGTGAAGCCCACCATGACCAGCACACCTACAAGCATATGGACCTTCATTTTGGAATTCTGGGGAGATGGGCAGTTCCTGAGGGGATGCCCTGAAACCCCACCTTCCTGTGACCATGCTCCTTAATCCTAAGCTGCAGGGTGGTTTTGACAAGGTCTGAGCAGGAGCTGCTGTAAATGCAGAGCTATATTCCTACTTGGGGCAGGATCCTGGCTGGGAAGGAAGTTATTACTTGGCAGGAGGGACAGCATGTCCTCACCCACAACGTCTGGTTCCTGAGTGTGGGAGTAATGGCCCAGATGGGGTAATACCTGGGCACTACCGGGTTCTTTATCCAGTGTCTACCTTTGTCTTGCATACCCTCCAAAGACCTATTCCCTCCCTTGGAAAGTCCATGGGTTAGTATCTATCTCTGCCACCATGTGCTGTCTTCGTCATACAACAGGGCCAATCCCCACTGTGCTGGGACAACCTGGCCAGGAAATCAAGCATCCCCATCCTTCTGAGATGAGCAGTCTCAGCTCCACCAGCGGCAGGCACACACACATCACTGAGCAGCAATTCCGGACCTTGTCCCACCTCGTTCCACCCTTTAGTTATACTGACTTTAGGCTACTTTTCCTTTAGAACTAAAACTAAAAGATGGAGCTGCTGATTAAGCCCCTTACAGTATAAACAGACAGTCATAGATATCCAAACAAATATTTCTCATCTTTGAAATATGCTTTGTCTTTTCCTTTTGACCTTGCATTTCATCACACGCAGTCCTAGGAATTCTGTTCTGCTCCATACTAAAAACACCACCCAATCCACTGAGCACAAATCTGTCCTGGTTTTCAATCTGGGGAGGGTGGGCTGGGCCATGAGGGCCCCTGGAGTCCAACACACCATCACCTTCCCTTCCCCAACAGCAAGCACCAGCAGACTAGCTCATGGCCTTTTCTTCTACTTTATTTCATATTCCCACCACGATAACGACTCCTTTAATTTAAACTAAAAACCATACAGGGTTCCTGAAAGGGTGGCAAAAAAGAAAGGAAAAGTCAAAGACTGCAGGACAGGTGGGGGAGGGAATCAGCGAATCGTCTTGACTGGGCTCTTGAAGTTGCTGGCGGCTTGGAGCTGCAGCTGGTAGGCCATCGGATGGATCTTGAAACCGTAGAGCCTAGGCCAGGGCAGAGGTCAGAGAGGCAGCAGCATGAGCCCCATCCAGGCCCTGCCAGTCACCTGCATTCCCACCTCCCCACCTGAGCTCCTCTATGGACCTGCTCAGAGCTAAAGCCTCGTGGTTCCCAACTTCTCAGCTCAAGAACATTCTACAATAAGGTAACTCAAGCACAGATAATCAAATAACTTTCCCACAGTCACTCAGCAGGGAGATGCCCTGATTCTGGGAGAAGCAGACCTCAAGAAAGGGCCATGCCCTGTCCTCCCCTCTCTGGGGGATCTTGGGCCTTTCCTTTGACCCTTAATGACTCTCCCTGCTCCCTACCTGGGCACAAACTGGTTGGCAGGTCTCTTGGGCCGGTACTCGGGATGCACCATGAAGAGCATGTGAGGGAAACCAGTGCCGAAGTAGGCGCCATCCGTGTGATGGTGTCTTGATGACTTGGGTGTGTACACATCCATGCACTTGGGGCAGTAGAGCTTCACCATGGCTTCACCTGGGATGTCTGAAAGGCCTGGGAGACAGCCAGACTCAGCAGGCCAGGTATCCCCCTATTCCTACCTAACCTCCCCTCAGGACTCAGGCTCCAATGTGTTGAGCCCCAACTCCTTCCCATAAGACTGCCACACGGTGCTTTCCTTTCCCTTCTTCAACACTCACCAATGGGAAGCATTGGCTGGTTCTCACAGTACACACGAGGACAGTAACCAAAGTCTCCTTGCTGGTACTTTTCCAACTGAGGTGAATACAATGGAAGGGGTTGGCAGGTAGATGTAAAGAAGAGGCAACTCCCTTCGCAGCCCAACCCATACCACTCTGTCCCCCACTCCTCCCACCTCTGTCCAGAGGCCCCTTCTCTGGACTAGATGGGCTCTCAAACTTCTGTGTTGCCTTTCTTCCAATTAGGCAGGCTACAAACCATCAGAGCCATTTGTTGTTTGTTCCTTGAGGAAGAGGCAGTCTATCACAACTCTCTGATTCAAGGTCTGTCTCCCTCCCTGAAAACAATCCCTTCAGGATGACCCCCAATCAGAATTCAATTCCCAGGCCCAAGTTCTGGGGTTCTTCCCCTCTTCTCAGCTAGCTTCCTTAAACAGGGCTTAAACATGACTTCTTGCTGCAGGAACCTGTGTCTCTTACTGCTCAGAAGGAGGCAGGTAGGAGCAGAGAGGCCTCACCATCTGGGCGATGCCACGGTTGGTAAGGATGTAGCGGGCGTGGATCAATCCATAAAGCATCTCGGCTGCCTGCTCAATCAGGTCACTCTGGTTGGGGTTGTCTTCCAGTTCTTCATCTGAAACACAGCCCGGCCAAATGCAACTACTTGTTTTTCAGCTTTCCTAGGTGCCCTGCCCATATCCAGGGGCTGCGGGCTATTCAGTTTGCCTAGCACCTACTTTTGGGCCTTACCCCATCCAACATCTGGGCATGGGACCCAGAAACCTGGGCTTCTGACCCTTGCATCAAACGAAGACAGCTCTGCCTTCCCTTCACACCTTTTCAGCCTCTGCTCCTTGCTCTCCCTCCCAACTCCCTCCTCAATACATAACTGCAACAATGTCAATGCAGAAGATGAAACTCTAGACTGGAAGGTGCAAAGCAGGAGAAACAGACAACAAACCAGACCCATGAGGAAACGCATTTTGGAATAGGTCTGAATTGCGGATTTAGAAAACATGAGAACAAGTGATATACGTCACAAAACTAGACAAGAGTCAGGTGGAGGATCAAAATAAAGCATGAATTTGGGGTTAAAGAAATCAGAGAACCAAAGGAAATTTCAAAATTCAGGCAAGTGAATAGAGATTTGAAGAGAAAAATAGTGCACGCACACACACAAAACAACCCTGAGGGTGCCTCACCAGGCTCCAGGTCCAAGATCATGTCTAGAGCTTGTCGATAGTGAGGGACCTGCTCATTGAGTCCAGTAAGATTAAATTTGTCCTGGATGTAGTCTTCATCCACCTGTCAGGACATGGAAGCCAAGAGGGAACCCATATCAAAATCCTCATCTTTGACCTGGGCAAAATGCTCTAAGTGATGCCTTATCATCAACACAACTGCATCTGTTGTGCTTGTTTCTCACTCCCAACTCAGCAGAAGTACTTGTGTCTCTCCCTAGTTCACCTACACTCTCTCCCATAAAAGCTTTGGCTTTTCTTTTCTAAGGATAAGTAGATACAGCAATCTTTTTCTTAGACATTCTTTTCAAGATCTTTGTCCCTACTCCACTCCTGTATCCCGTCTCTAGGAACCAGTTTTGTCCTCTCAGCTGGCTAAGGAAGGTGGAAGCTGAACAGCATGGTTTCTGAACAAAACATTTCAATGTGTAGCATTTCAGTTTTCCTAAAGGCCACCTGAGACAAGTACTAGCAGTGCCACTTTAGTAACAAAAGATACAGGCCGGGCGCAATGGCTCACGCCTGTAATCCCAGCACTTTGGGAGGCCGAGGCAGGCAGATCACCTGAGGTCTGGAGTTCGAGACCAGCCTGGCCAACATAGTGAAACCCTGTCTCTACTAAAAATACAAAAATTAGCCAGGCATGGTGGCAGGCACTTGTAATCCCAGCTACTTGGGAGGCTGGAGCAGGAGAATCGCTTGAACCTGGGAGGCAGAGGTGGCAGTAAGCCGAGATCGCACCACTACCCTCCAGCCTCGGTGACAGAGTGAGACCCAGTCTCAAAAAAAAGAAAAAGACACAAATTGACTAGCCCAACGTTATATTGCTGGACGGTGGCAGACTCAGGACTTGGGCCCCAGTTTTGCCACTTTAGCACAGGTTCGTCGGGGTTTATAGGGGGGACTCTTTGCTGATAGGAAGTTTTCAAATAGCATGTAAGAGAACAGTGTAGAAGTGGAATATGTGAAGGAACGTCTGGTGGGAAGATATGTGAAGCTGGCAAGTAGGGAGGTTGAAGAGAACTCACTTCACAGAAGAATTCATTGCCACGGAGCCCACAGAACCAGGAAATCCAGGACACCTCCTCTGAGCTGCTCATCTTCACGTCAGCTAGAAAAAGAACAGTGTCAGTAAAGCTCAAGTTCTCCTTCCCTGCCTCTGGTATCCTCCCTCCTCCCACATTCGGCCCTCCAACCACGGGAGAATTCGGAACCACCCTTTCTTAAAGCAACCCAAACTCTGAAGCACTCCTCTCCAGCTCCTCTAATTTACATCTCAGCCCCTTTTCTTTGAAGTTAAACATTCTTTGGGGTCCCACCACTTGAAAGAAGCCAACAGATACTTTGACCCACCAGCCCGACCCACATCCCTGGAGCTCCCGAAGGCCAGGGCCCTCTCTCCTCTGTGTCAACTCCGGCAGGGACCTCGACTCAGGCTCCCTACCAATACAAGTCTCTGCATGACCCCCACGCCTTTCCCAAGGGTTTCCAAGTTTATCATTCTCAAGCAAGAACTGGGCTCCTCCTTTTCTCACGGGTTGGGGGCGATTGTCAGGTCCCTTTCACCGGAATCCACACATCCCCCCTCCGCTCCTCAGGCCACCTCTCCCTCCTTCGTGCCGGACCTGGTCGCTTCCTCCCCCGCCCCCACATCAAAGTCCGGAGACCCCATGTGCCGCTCCCAGCGACAAGGGACTCGGAGCAGCGACGACTTCAGACTCACCGGCTGGACGGGGACCAGGACTGGGGTGGGGTAGGGAAGTTGCTACTTCCAGGGAACGGCGGCGACCGCTACAGCGCAGGCCGCGGACCCGACCGCGGCAGGCGAAGTGGGGTGGGGGGAGTGGAAATTAGGGAGGGTGGGGAAGAGGGCAACACGCAAGCGCCAAGGGTCAGGTGCCGCGGTGGATGCCGGGACACGGAGTCCCCGGTAGAGAAAGAAACTGGCTAAATGAGAGAAAGCGAACTACCAATCCCAGGATGACCCGCGCACGACCTGGCTGTCACGAAGGCCCGGAGGAGGGCGCTTGCGGGCGGGGCACAACGAGAAGCCACCGGAAGCGGAAGCCAGGTATGGCGTTCGGGGCCCGGGAGTCTGGGCAATACAGTTTTGTGCTCACTGGGTGAAGAGGCTGACTTAGGGCGGGGAAAGGAGGGAGCCAGGCTGGATCTCTTTCCGCAGCTCTCCTCACGTTCCCCTCTAGTCCCGGCGCGGCGCTGCTGCCCAGGGGACTGGCCTATCCTCGGCCAATCCGCTGGGTCCTTATTGCCTGTTGGGCCCCTAGTGCGAATCAGTCCCGCCAGAGACCCTTGACGGGCATACTGTTTCCTCCGGGCTCCTGCCTCATGAGGGGAGAGGTGCGGCTTGGCTCCGTGCGTAGGGACTTGGGTGGGGTGGGGTGGGCGGTGTGAGAACTGGAACGTCCCAGTGCGCTAACCTGAGGTGGTGCCAGCCATTCTGCTCGTCCCTTTGCACTTCTCCATTTCCCCTTAGGCTCTAAGTGTGACCTTCGAACCCTGGTCAGAGTAATGGTGAGGGGCAGGCGTGACGTTATTTCATTACACGGCTTCTCGGCATTCCACAGGTTTCCCTCCGCCTCCTGAGGGCCTTTCCTAACCCACAGAGTGGATTCCTGGCTCCAGAAAATGGGCTTGGAGCGGGGGCCACGTTGAGGAAGGCGAAGGGCATTGTGGGGGCGTTATGTAAAAGTAGGACCCCAACCGACAGATCCTAGTGCTCGCGCCACCTGGGCGCGCGGAGCTTTGCTCGTTTACTATTGAAAAAGTTCCAGCGCGGGAAACTGAACCCGGAGCTTTGCGCACGCCCGAGCCCTCAAGTAATGTGGGTTGTGGTTTTTGTTGTTGTTGTCGCCACGCATGCGTCTTCGTGCCGTGTGGCTATTTGATTGTGTCAACTCTTCTGATTAGAATGGCGCCATTTTGCGGTACGGAAGCTACACAGCAACACGTATAGGAGACTCTCCCCGAGATCTTCTAGGGAGTGACCCATCTATTTTTGTTTGGGAAGAGGAAACTCCGAAATGGGATCGCGGAAGACTTAAAGGGCCAGGCTGATTTTTTTTTCCTACTGGTATGTCTTACGGGGTGGGAAAGTGGTTTCAGAAAGAGGCTGGTGTTTATTGTTGGTGAGGATGGGGGTGGGGGCCGGACGCAGGACCTCTGGACAACAGTCTCATGGAGTTTTATTAATCTTTACTAAGGAGCAAAGTCGGTATTGTAGGGTTCCATGTTTTTACGCAAAGTCTCTCTCCCTTAGGCCCTGCAGAGTCCTAAGTTGTGGGGTTACTTTAGTGGCAGGAAAGTGTTTTTGACTACTTTTTCTCATCCCAGCAGGTCTCTGAGGCTGTGGTTGCTACAGGGTCACCACGAGCTTGGCTTACTTGTCTCATCCTTCCCTTGCCTGGTATCATTTTCTCAGTTCTCCCAAAAGCCATGTCCCGGCCCTTGCTCATCACCTTCACCCCAGCCACTGACCCCAGCGACCTCTGGAAGGATGGGCAGCAGCAGCCACAGCCCGAGAAGCCAGAGTCCACCCTGGATGGGGCTGCAGCCCGAGCTTTCTATGAGGCCCTGATTGGGGATGAGAGCAGCGCTCCTGACTCCCAGAGATCTCAGACTGAACCTGCCAGAGAAAGAAAGAGAAAGAAAAGAAGAATAATGAAGGCACCAGCAGCAGAAGCAGTGGCAGAAGGAGCATCAGGAAGACATGGACAAGGGAGATCCCTTGAGGCTGAGGATAAGATGACTCACCGGATACTGAGGGCAGCCCAGGAGGGGGACCTGCCAGAACTTAGGAGACTGCTGGAACCGCATGAGGCAGGAGGAGCTGGGGGGAATATCAACGCCCGGGATGCCTTCTGGTGGACCCCACTGATGTGTGCTGCTCGAGCGGGCCAGGGGGCAGCTGTGAGCTATCTCCTGGGCCGTGGGGCTGCCTGGGTGGGGGTCTGTGAGCTGAGTGGCAGGGATGCGGCTCAGCTCGCTGAAGAAGCTGGCTTCCCTGAGGTAGCCCGCATGGTCAGGGAGAGCCATGGAGAGACAAGGAGCCCGGAAAACCGGTAAGGGGAAACTTTAGCTCAGACCCATGTCTCATTGTGTTCTGCCTCTCCCAGCCACACCACACCAGACGCCCCAGCACAGTGCTGAAGAGTTCTTTCCTTATCCTCATGTGTAGGTTGACAGGGTAGTATAGTCAAGTGGTTATAAACATGAGCTCCCTGGATTTAAAGCCTGATTCCACTTACTTGGGCAAACAACCTAATGTCTACATGTTCCAGTTTTCTCATCTTAGAAATGGGGGTAGTAAGAATTGTTGTTAGGATTCAATGGGTTAATATATGTAAAATGCTAGAATAGTGCATGCCGCATAGTATGCAATACATGAATGTTAGCTATAGTCATTATGACTAATGTCCCTCCCCTTGCCCAAGAGTTTGCTAGGTCTGGTTACCATTTTTTTCTTTCAACTATTCTGCTCTGGATCCCACAATGGTTTAAAGAAATTTGTTTTTAAGACAAGTCAAGTGCAGTAGTGAGAAGGAGGGGAAAAGTGGAGTAAGGAGTTTGATCTGTAACTGAGTGAACAATTAATTCAGATAACTCACCACCACCTTTGGACCAGCCTGGATCCCTCACTGTTAAGTAGGAAGGAAGGCAATTTGTCCCTTTTTTTTTTTTTTTTTTTTTTGAGACAAAGTCTCACTCATCTCACTCTGTCGCCCAGGCTGGTGTGCAATGGTGTGATTTCAGCTCACTGCAACCTCCGCTTCCTGGGCTCAAGCATATTTTTTGTAGAAAGCAGGCTTTGCCGGGACATGGTGGCATGTGCCTGTAATCCCGGCTACTTGGGAGGCTGAGGCAGGAGAATCGCTAAGGTGGAAGTTGCAGTGAGCCAGGATCATGGCACTGCACTCCAACCTGGGCAGCAGAGCAAGACTCCATCTCAAAAAAAAAAAAAAAAAAAGCAGGCGTTGCCATTTTGCCCAGGCTGGTCTCAAACTCCTGAGCTCAAAGCCATCTGCCCGCCTCTGCCTCCCAAAGTGTTGGGATTACAGGCGTGAGCCACTATGCCTAGCTGGCAATTTGTTCCTTAGCAGAAAAGCTGAAAAGATCCTATTCTACCCTGCCAGCCCCCTCTGAGGCCTCAACTCTTCCCCTTTTCCTTCCCCTGCCCTTAATGCTTTTTCTTCTTTCTCTGCAGGTCTCCTACTCCCTCCCTCCAGTACTGCGAGAACTGTGACACCCACTTCCAAGATTCCAACCACCGCACATCCACTGCTCACCTGCTGTCACTGTCGCAGGGTCCTCAGCCTCCCAACCTTCCACTTGGGGTGCCCATCTCCAGCCCGGGCTTCAAACTGCTGCTGAGGGGGGGCTGGGAGCCAGGAATGGGGCTGGGACCCCGGGGTGAGGGCCGTGCCAATCCCATCCCCACTGTCCTCAAGAGGGACCAGGAAGGACTAGGCTACAGATCAGCACCCCAGCCCCGAGTGACACATTTCCCAGCTTGGGATACCCGAGCTGTGGCTGGGAGGGAGAGACCCCCTCGGGTGGCCACACTGAGCTGGAGGGAGGAGAGAAGGAGGGAGGAGAAAGACAGGGCTTGGGAGCGGGATCTAAGGACTTACATGAACCTCGAGTTCTGACTTTGGTAAAGTCTGACCCTAGTCTGCTGCTGAAGTCTGAACTTGGGCCTCTGACCTGGGCCCTTTGACTTCCCCTTCCTGGGATCTGCTCAGATGCAGATCCTGAAGTTTTTGGTCAATAGGCTCTGTCTTCGTGAGAGACGGGCTGAGAGTCAGAAATAAATCAACCATTTGTGGTTTATTCACTTTTCTGGAAGCTATTTTGAGGAAGCCAAACAGAAGCCTGGGAGCCACATGCAAGTCCCACCTGAGTCAGAAGGGGCAGCCTCTCCAGGTGGCATGATAAGGTCACCTCCCTGCCAATCTGGGTTCACTTTCAGGTCCCAGACCCTCCTGGGAGTCCCCCACCTATTCTTTCAACCCCCCTGGACCAAGAATTGCCCAGCTTCGTGCAAGTCTCACTTCCCCCAGGAGGAGTTCCCTGACTACAGCCAATTCACTGATTTCACAAACATAAGTCCATATACTATGTGCCAAGAATACAGGTAAAGACATTCCCAACCCTCAAAGAGTTCACAGCTGGAGAGGGAAAGTGCCATGTTATCAATTTTTTTCTTTTTTTTTTGAGATGCAGTTTCGCTCTCATTGCCCAGGCTGGAGTGCAATGGCATGATCTCGGCTCACCACAACCTCTGCCCCCCGAGTTCAAGGGATTCTCCTGCCTCAGCCTCCCCAGTAGCTGGGATTACAGGCATGCCCCACCACGCCCAGCTAATTTTGTATTTTTAGTAGAGACGGGGTTTCTCCATGTTGGCCAAGCTGGTCTTGAACTCCCGACCTCAGGTGATCCGCCGGCCTCGGCTTCCCAAAGTGCTGGGGTTGCAGGCATGAGCCACCACTCCCGGCCCATGTTATCAAATATTATAATGCAGGGTGATAAGGGAAGTCAAGGCCTCTAGAGATGAGAATGGGTAGGGTTTTGCTGGAAGAGGCCAGTGTGATAGGAAGGCCCACGATTATCAAGCTTGTACACTTAGTTGAACTGGGACCAGAACTCTAGCCCCCAAATCTAAACTTTAAACTTCTTTGTTCCACCCATTTGTCTACACTTTTCTTTCCCACACTTCCCCACTCTCCCACCACCCACCCCCTTGTCTTGCTCATGCCGGGTGGTAGGCACAAGAAGAGCTCACTGTTGTGAAATCCAGGAATTCAAATTTGCAGACGGGCAGGGGAGGGCTGTTCAAGTCGCAAGACTCCTCATTTTTTCTTTTCTGGGAAAGCCTTTCATGAAGTCTTGGATGCGAAATGGAGGAGTGGTGGGGGATGTGGAAAAGAACCCAGGGGCAGGGGGCTGTAGGGGGCGACCGAGTTTAGGGAAGCATGAGAAACCCGGGAAAATGGGGAGCTGGGTTTATATTAAGGTCCTGGTCCTTGCTAATCTCGGTTTGGCGGTCCGGCGCGCACAGACAGCGCGGGGTATACGGGGGCGGTCTATTCGCAGGGTCCGCCCCATGAGCTGCGGCACCGCCCCCGCGGGTCCTTCCAGTCCTGGTGCAGCTGCTTCCGGGCTT
The DNA here is from genome assembly GCF_000001405.40 of Homo sapiens. Classification (NCBI taxonomy): domain Eukaryota; kingdom Metazoa; phylum Chordata; class Mammalia; order Primates; family Hominidae; genus Homo; species Homo sapiens. The sequence continues at coordinate 2,965,798 of NT_167246.2, read as the reverse complement.
CGCGGCTCCCGGCGGCTCCCCAAGGCCGCGGCCCCGACGCTGGGCCCGGGAGCGGTCCCCGCGCACAGCGCCCGGACGCGTAGGTCCCGAAGTAGGCCCGCGCTTTGCTTCGTAACTGGGGATCTCTGAGGACATCTTAGTTCTGACCTTGTGGAGGCCGCGTCTCTGCTGCGTGTTCGCGGGCCAGTCGGGCCACTTTGTAGAAATCATAGCCCTCTAAATCAAGGGACGAACGCTGCTGGCTGGAGTTTGCTGGACACTTTCATTCCACCTCCTAACAAAGAGAATTCCTATTCCTTGAGGTCCCTTGGGGCAGCAGTTAAAGACTACACGATCCAGGAGCACCTAGGACCTGGGGCCACCTTCCTGCCCGCTTTATTGGATGGAGCACTGCCTCCCCAGTTTCTGGGACACCTTGGGGTGTGGCCTTGGTGAGTGAAACTTGGGGTGCTGCCTGCTGGGAAGGAAATCCGGAAACGCAGAGAGGACTCTCTGGTGGTGACCCAGGCCTTGTCAGATCTGAGATTCTTGGAATCTCAGATTGTGGGGGTGTGGATGGTGAATGAATTTGGGTATGCCCCCCTTTACCCCAGAACTGAAGAGGAAGCAAACTACTTGCCACACTTGAGGCTGCATGACTATTCAGAGAAGGGAGGAGCCACTTCTGAATTCAGAGTAGGACTGCATCACCAGGCAAATACCTGTTCTGAGCCAGAAAGACTCTGGCTTCTGAGGAGATCCTGAGAGTCTGAGTAGTGCCAGGAAGCAGCCTCAGAATTTGGGGGCCCATTACACACCCCAGCCATGTTCCTGCGACGGCTTGGTGGCTGGCTACCTCGCCCTTGGGGCCGCCGGAAACCAATGAGGCCTGACCCGCCTTACCCAGAACCCAGACGGGTGGACAGCTCCTCGGAGAATTCAGGAAGTGACTGGGATAGTGCCCCAGAAACCATGGAAGATGTGGGGCATCCCAAGACTAAGGACTCGGGGGCATTGAGGGTTTCTGGGGCTGCTTCCGAACCAAGCAAGGAGGAGCCCCAAGTTGAGCAGCTAGGGAGCAAAAGAATGGATTCCCTCAAGTGGGACCAGCCTATCTCTAGCACTCAAGAGTCTGGGAGACTGGAGGCTGGAGGGGCCAGTCCCAAACTCAGATGGGATCATGTGGATTCAGGTGGCACCAGGAGACCAGGGGTGTCCCCTGAAGGGGGACTGAGCGTCCCTGGGCCAGGAGCCCCATTGGAGAAACCTGGTAGGCGTGAGAAGCTGTTGGGCTGGCTGCGGGGGGAACCAGGAGCTCCCTCCCGGTACTTGGGGGGCCCAGAAGAGTGTCTGCAGATCTCCACCAACCTGACCCTGCATCTTCTGGAGCTGCTGGCCTCTGCCCTGCTGGCCCTGTGCTCACGACCACTGCGGGCAGCCTTGGACACACTGGGCCTGCGTGGACCGCTGGGCCTCTGGCTACATGGCCTACTGTCCTTCCTGGCTGCCCTGCATGGGCTCCATGCTGTTCTGAGCCTACTTACTGCCCACCCTTTGCACTTCGCCTGCCTCTTTGGTCTCCTGCAGGCCTTGGTGCTGGCTGTCAGCCTCCGGGAGCCCAATGGGGATGAGGCGGCCACTGACTGGGAGAGTGAGGGGTTGGAGAGGGAAGGTGAGGAGCAGAGGGGAGACCCGGGAAAGGGGCTGTGACCGTGGGGTGGGGGCAAAGGGTGAAGAGAGTGTGGGCTTTAGGAGAAAAGTGTGAGGCATGACCCAAATTGTAAGCATAGGGACCTCAGGGATGGGGAAGAAACCCGAGTACGAGGGTGCAGGGCCCCCCTTCATACACAGGAGAGAACAGAACTATTTAGGGTGTTTGTGTTTATGGACAGTGAGGGCACTGCTCTTGGATTCACCAGCTGTTATTTTTGCTTTTACTTTTCTCCCACCTTCAGTTTTTTTTTTTTTTCCACCTCCACTTTTTAAAAGCAAAAAAAAAAAAAAAGTATGATGGTGGTGAATAAAGACCAAAGGGTCCTCTCTACCTTTGAAAACTCTCCTGGGGTGGAGGAGACCAGGGCAGGATAGACAGACCTCTGCAGTAAGAGAGTGGTTGGGAAACCCAGGGTGTTCCTTGGATCTCAGGATCTGAGCCATCGAGGGAAGAGTGGGGCTGCTAGGCAAGTGGATTAGGGGGTCTGGATAGGGCCCCACAGGTGACAGGGAGCCTGCAGGGCGGATCTGGTGATCATGGGAGCCAGAGGGAGTGGGGACAGTGCAGGCAGTATTGGCAGGAGGGCCAGTGCAGAAGGGCTGGTAGCTCAGGCAGTGTGGGGGAAGCACTGAAGCCTGTAGTCCCCACTTGGGGGCTAGGGGTTTGCTCACTCAGCAATAAATAACTGTGTCACATCAAATCCTAAATATACCACTACAAAGTGAGAGTTACTGCCACTCTGTTCTTACTGACACCGTCCAGCTGGGAGTTTAGGTGGTAGAGGATCCAGGGGGAATGTTGAAATGGGAGGAGTGGGAATGACGTCTGGAGACAAACCCCAGAATGAGATGAGGATTGAAAAATTATCTTTATTATCTTGAGTGGGAGCTGGAGCTGGAAGTCTCCAGCTTCTCCCTCCAACAACTCAGCTCCCATTGTACCCATCTGGGGACTTAGATGAAGTTACAGGTCAGTTATTGGACAGCTCACAGGCCTCTGTGATGGGGGGAGGGAAAAAGAAGGACAGAAGGGAAGTCCAGGGAGAAAAGCAAAGTTGATAGTAATGGGGTGGGGGAGAACGTGTTCTTTCATTCCCTGTGTCAAAGGGGAGTCTCTAAGGCTCTTTTCCCTCCACGTATGACCCTCTGCCCCCTTTATCCAGTGCAAACTCAGAAACCTCTCTTTTGAGTAGCCCAGAACCCATCCTGCCTCCCTCAGGTGACATCACAGCTCTTAGCCACATCCCTCTGGTGACATCACACGAGCCTCTTTCACCCTGTAACACCAGAAGACTTGGTGAGTCCTAATCCTGTTTTATGAGATTTTAACCCCTTACCTTGATTCCTAGGAGTCAATAAGAAGGCTTTGGAGTCCAGGCAGGAAGTCAGGGACTTGAATTCCTCCACACACTTTTCGGGAGGATGTGGTGAGCGATCTGGAAGGGCAAGGTGGGGTCAGGCCAGTCAAAACCCCTGGAAGCACCTAGCTCTTCCTGGGAGGGTGTCATAGGACCCAGAGTGAGGAGTTCTCCTGCCCTCCCTTGTTTCCCTCCAACCCTTCCTGCCTTGTATCCCTACTCACTGTAGAGGAGAAAGCGCTGGTAACCCTGGCCTGTCTCATTCAGCATGATTCCACCTGGGCATGAGCTGGAAAAGAGCTCAGTCTTCATGTCAGGGCGGCCTGTCAAGGCAGGTGGGAGAAGTATGAGAACAGAGATGCAGAACCAAACTCAAGGGAGGGTGAGGGCTGGGAAGAACCAACCTTCAGTTCTGAGATCTGTGCTCCCTTCAGTCAGGTGGTAGATCCATTTCCGGGGCACACAGAGCCCATCTTTCCTGCAGAGGTGGTGGTGGCAAGGAGGAAAGAATGAGCATCACCCCAACCATAGTGTCCCAGCTTCTTTTTTTTTTTTTTGAGACAGAGTCTCACTCTGTTGCCCAGGCTGGAGTGCAGTGGCGCCATCTCGGCTCACTGCAAGCTCTGCCTCCCGGGTTCACGCCATTCTCCTGCCTCAACCTCGTGAGTAGCTGGGACTACAGGTGCCCACCACCATGCCCAGCTAGTTTTTTATATTTTTAGTAGAGACGGGGTTTCACTGTGTTAGCCAGGATGGTCTCGATCTCCTGACCTCGTGATCTGTCCGCCTCAGCCTCCCAAAGTGCTGGGATTACAGGCGTGAGCCACCACGTCTGGCCTGTCCCGGCTTCTATTTACTCCATTGTATTTGTTATTGAAGCCCAGCTCTCCTTGGGTTTCAAGCTACCAAGCATTGGTTAGGCACATCTTTCTCCAGAGGGCAATTAATACAGCCACTGAATTCCGTGGGCCAAGCATAGTAGATATACCAGCTAAGAGGCCAGCTCTTGGTGGGTGGATTCTCACACTTTGGGCAGAGACTGAACCCAGTGATGCTTCTGCCTCCTTACCACTCACATGCGGATGGTAGCACGAAGGTGGAGCTGCATCGGGGCAGAGCCAGCAGCCATATTGAAGACAATGTTGTCCACAGGGTCAAAAGTTGCCAACTCCTCCTTGGTGGGAGCTGCCCCTGCGATAAAGTACCACTGGCCCAAGTGGACCTCTGGGAACTGGAGAGACAATGAAGGGAGCAAAAGAGGGTGGGTTCCAGCACAGGATGGGTTCAACCTCTTCATCAGTCAAAACAGCAAGATTTAGGGGTAGAGGTGTTGGCTGCCTTCCTCTTTCCAACTGGGGATTGGATCCATGACAAAGAGTCATTAAATGACTTTTCCTCTTTGCCCCTCCCCAGTCAACCTGGGTAACCACCCCACCCCCCAATTCTGCCATGCCTCTGCATTGATGGCCACAGTACTGATATTTTTCTTCTTGCTTTCATTATCACAACACTCACACCCCCTTCCTCTCTTCCTTTCCCAAGATGGTCTCCAGTCATCCTAGGCCATCCACCCAAGTCCCTCAGAGCCTCCACCATAGGCTTCCCCCAATCTCAGTCCATACCTCCTTCCCATCCACGCCCAGAGTTGTCAGTTGACTGTGCTCAGGGCACTGGTAGATGGAGTTAAGGATAATACCATAGAAGTAGAGCAGAGCTGCCCAAATTTGGTGGAACATCTTCAGGCAGGAGGGAGCTGGTGCTCTGTGTGCCTTAACTGCTCTCTCCCCTACTGGCTGCTCAGTCCACTCTGCTTTCAGCTCCCTTGCGTTCGACCCTTGACCCTTTCACCTGCTAATGAGTAACTTCAACCTTGTTTTCCAACCCAAACCTGGATTACTTAGTGTTTGGGACTTCCTCCCCCTCTTCCGGATGCAACCACTCCATAGTACACCCTGGCATGTCCAGGGTTTCTCAGGAGTTATGAGGAGAGCTGAGCTGTCCAGGGAGAAGCCTGTGGTCTTTGAACCTGTATCTGAGCTGGTTATTTGTTGCACTGTGCAGCACTGAAGGGAAGTAGCTTGACTGGGCCTCTCATTCATTCACTTAGCAAACTGTTTTGAATCCCAAGTCCCAGTTGTTTCCCAAGAACTAGCTAATCCCCGGGGACATAAAAAAACGAATAAGACATAGCCCCTGATCTTGAAGAAGTCGTTAGAGGGAAAACTAGCTGTGTAGACAAACCATTGCAATACAACTTGGTAAATGCTTTAGAACAGGTATGATGCAGGTGCTGGGGCACGGTGGATTGCTCTCTTTAGTTTACAATTAGAAAAATATGTATACCCTGGCAGTGTTCACTGACACATTCACTCAACATTTATTACTACAAAGAGGCTATGTAATCTGGCTGTTAGAGAGGATAGATGTTGGTGTCAGGCAGAATGTGTCCAAACCCTAACTACAGGCAGGGCAGGTAGCTCATGCCTGTAATCTCAGCACTTTGAGAGGCCAAGGTGGGCGGATGGCTTGAGCCCAGGAGTTCAAAACCAGCCTGGGCTACATGGCAAAACTCTGTCTCTACAAAAAATACAAAAATTAGCCGATGTGGTGGCACACGCCTGTAGTCCCAGCTACTAGGGAGGCTGAGGAGGGAGGATTGCTTGAGCCTGGGATGTCGAGGCTGCAATGAGCCCTGATTGTGCCACTGCACTCCAGCTTGGGCGACAGAGACTCTGTCTCCAAACAAACAAAACACCACCAACCCCTAACTGCTATGTCTGTTTTTTCATCTGTAAAATTGGCAAATCATCAATCTTATAGGATTAAATGAAATAATGCACATAAAGCCCTTAGCAAAGACTTGCACATGGTAAGTCCAAAGTATATATTTGCTATAATTAATAGTAATGTTTGCAAAGCACTTAGTTTCTGGTGGGTAATAAGTTCTCAAATAATAGGCAGTAAGAATTGCCAAATAGGTTGTCCTTGGATAGCACCAAGTGACTGGAGCAGTTAATGCTGTGAGAGATGGATCTTCCTCGATAGATTATTTATTTACTTATTTATTTTTAAGACAGGGTCTCACTCTGTCGCCCAGGCATGACTTTGACTTCCCCGGCTCAGATGATTCCCGAGTAGGAGGTATAGGTGCACGCCATCACGCCTAGCTAATTTTTTGTAGACACGGAGTTTCACCATGTTGCCCCAGGCTGGTATTAAACTCCTGAGCTCAAGCAGTCGGCCCACCTTAGCCTCCTAAAGTGTTGGGATTACAGGCATGAGCCACCACACCTAGCTTGATAAATTTATATCCCATGGACTGCCACAAAAAATTTGCCGAGGGCTGAGGCTTGCGATTTAGTTAAAAAACAAACAAAATTTGGGTGACCAGTATATTAGAGTTTATTAATACTGTTCTATTTTGGTGTAATGTTTGAATTTTTTTTTTTTTTTTTTTGAGATGGGAGTCTCGTTCTGTTGCCCAAGCTGGAGTGCAGTGGCGCGATCTTGGCTCACTGCAATCTCCACCTCCCGGGTTCAAAGCAATTCTCTGCCTCAGCCTCCCAAGTAGCTGGGATTACAGGCGCCCGCCACCACGCCAGGCTAATTTTTGTATTTTTAGTAGAGATGGGGTTTCACCATTTTGGCCAGGCTGGTCTTGAACTCCTGACCTCGTGATCCACCCGCCTCATCCTCCCAAGTGTGAGTCACTGCGCCCGGCCGAAAATTTTTGTAATAAAAAGCTAAAATGTGGTTAGGCACAGTAGCTCACACCTATAATCCCAGCACTTTGGGAGGCCAAGTCTGCAAGACCAGGCTGGGCAACATAGCAAGACCCCATCTCTATAAAAATAAAATTAGCCAGGTGTGGTGGTGTGCATCTGTGGTCCCTACTAGGGAGGCTGAGGTGGGAAGATCGGTTGGGCTCGGGAGGCAGAGGCTACAGTGAGTTGTGATTGCGCCACTGCACTCCAGCCTGGGCGACAAAGCGAGACCCTCTCTCAAAAAAATAAGCTAAAATGTTAACAGCTTTTTATTGGGGCAGTAAAGTACAAGTGCTCGATCTGGAGTCCTGTAGGCCTGGATTTGTCAATTCTGACACTTATGTTCGTCTAAGTGTACTCACTTAAAAAATGTTAAAAGCTCGTTAAAAGGCTTTTTAAAATAATACACAAAACCCGTAGTATATGGGCTGGCACAAGTGCTCATTAAACAGCTGCTTATTAGAACTCTTAACTAAAATATAACCAGGACCTGGGTATAAACTACGAATCCCAGAAAGGTTGGACACCCCAACAGCGATGTGTCTTTCTGGAGGACTCGCAGTTTCGCGGGGCCGAGGCCCTTGGCCCAGGGCAGGTTAAGAGAAGAGGGCACGGAGAGGCGGTAATGCCTCCACCCCCGGCCTTCGGAAGCACGCTGGCCGGCCTTTAAATTCCCCACGGTCAGGGTCTTGTCTTTCTGTCCACTCGGACTCCATTTGCTCCCAATTCTCAAACTCGGAAGCGCCTCTTTTCTTGACAAGTCGTGCAACTTAGTAGCACGTTTACTTTTCCTAAAACGTGTCATGTCCCCTTGGCCACACACCGACGAATGTGACGCCCACAGCCCTTAAAACGCCCACCCGGCAGAACCGAAATCTAGCCCAACCAAGCAACCGAGAACAAAATTGACCAGTGCCGCCCCCAAACGCCTACTGAAAGAGTAACTTCCGGAGGCACAGAAGAAAGGGCGCAGCGAGGGCAATAGGGTGGAGAAGAGTTTTAGCTGGCTAGGACAGTGCCGCCTGAAATTATCAGCCTGCCAAGATTTAAACATAGATGAATGTGGCATAATCCCCCATCTCCAAAGTCCAAGGTCCATACGACCGTCCATAGCCCCTCTCGAGGCAGTGGTAGAGTCCCAGCTGGTGACTGTTTTTCAGGCATTTACGGTAGCCACCTCAATCTTCTAGCGCTCAAGCGCGCGCACAGACGTGAACGCCGCCAGAGGGGGGAGGGGGTGGGGCGATGCTTAAGTGTCCACGCATCCGTAGTGCGACGCACGCAGGCGTAGTACGGTCCCCCGGGCGACAGCGGTGGCGGCTCCTCGGGGTGCTCGGCTCCCTCCCACCTAGGCCGGCCCCGGCCCGACTCGCCCTCAGAAACTCACTGTTTGGGGCTGCGGACTTTCTCGTCGTGCCCCACAAAAGTAAAGCTTGGGGACCTGGGGGGAGCCGGAAGTATCGCTTCGAGATCCCCAAATACTATCGGGGAAACGGAAGTGGCCGTCGGTGGCAGGTTTGGGGGAGACCGGAAGTGACGGTCCGTGGGGAAGTCGGGGGCGGAGCCGCGGGGTGGTGGGTGTGTGTGTGTGTGTGTGTGTGTGTGTGTGTGTGTGTGTTTGGCTGTGGGTTAGTTGTGCCGTTCTGCTGGAACACCGTGGGAAGGCAGTAGACGCGGGCAGTCAGCTAGCAGGTCTGTCGCCCCGTGAGTGCCGTTTCGGGTCTATAGTGAGTTAGGAGGGTTCGATGGGCGTGGCGCGCGTGCGCGAAACCACTTTCTCCGCAGAGTGTGGGGCGACCACCGCTTTCGCGTTGTCCCAGGATTTTCCGACCTCTGGGGCGCTTGTCCTGCCGTGACCGGTGATGACACTAGTCTCTGGTCTCGTGCTTCCTTCCTAATCTGACTGGCTCCCTGCTTATTGTGATTGGCGTCGTGGAGCCCCTCCCACCTCTCGTCCTCCAGCTCCCTAAGCCGTCGATCTCCTGCCCTTTGTGTTTCTCTCCCTGTGCCCCGGAATCAGAAGGGGGATGGGGACAGGTGTGAATGTGTGTGTGTGCAGGAGAAACTTTTTAGGTATTGGGGCAGGGATTAATGCTAGGGAGTCTTTCGGGTACACTCTGGTCTGGGCAACAGCGGGCCTTCCTTCCTTCGTTCTTCTTTAGAGACCTGTCGGCCATGGAGCCTAATGATAGTACCAGTACCGCTGTGGAGGAGCCTGACAGCTTGGAGGTGTTGGTGAAGACCTTGGACTCTCAAACTCGTACCTTTATTGTGGGGGCCCAGGTGAGACACCTCACTAGTTCTGGAAGACACCTTTAGCTTTTCCTCGTTTAGGCCCCTTAGCCTGAGAGATGAGCTTGATTTTCTGGTCACCAGATTTTCTTTTTTTTTCTTTTTTTTGAGATGGAGTCACGCCCTGTCTTCCAGGCTGGAGTGCAGTGGCGCGATCTCGACTCACTGAAACTTCCACCTCTTGGGTTCAAGCGATTTTCCTATCTCAGCCTCCTGAGTAGCTGGGATTATAGGCGTGTGCCACTATACCCAGCTGATTTTTGTATTTTTAGTAGAGACGGGGTTTCACCATGTTGGTCAGGCTGGTCTCGAACTCCTTACCTCAGGTGATGTGCCCTCCTCGGCCTCCCAAAGTGCTGGTATTACAGGCATGAGCCACCGCACCTGGCCTCAGATTTTCTTTTTATTGATCCCTTTGTTCGTATTCCAGTAGAACGTTTTCTGATGTTTTGTGAGTGAGGCTGATTTTGTTCTGTCCTCCACATGGATAGAACTTAATGCAGAGGGAAATACAGAGGAAGGAAGAATCTGTGTGTCATCATCATGGGTGGACCCCAACCCAAAGGGACAGGCATGGCTCTGGCCTTTGGGAAGGGAAACAGCACAGGAACCCTAAGCAAGTGTGTCTTACTGATAGACATTGGTCAGGTCTATGCTGTGTTTTTAAAGGGTAGAAATCAGAACCCATAATGGAGATAGGTCCTTGATAGACTGTTGAGTGAAATTACTAATTTTTATGGCATAGCTTGAGTCTCTTGAGCTTAAAGCCTTGGACATAGCTATCTGTGTCTTTACTCCTGTAATACTTGGAGACAAATTGCATGTGGGGTGGTCCATGGTTTTCTAAAATGTGATATTACCTGGATATAAGAAAGCCATATATAGACTTGTGATTAGATGTATATAAATACTCTGGTACTTCCCAAGAGTCAGTTTGTAGTTAGGAAAAATATTTCTCTTTTTGCTTTTTTTTTTTTTTTTGAGATGGAGTTTTGCTCTTGTTGCCCAGGATGGAGGGCTGGGGCGCAATCTCAGCTCACTGCAACCTCTGCCTCCTGGGTTCAAGCAATTTTCCTGCCTCAGCCTCCTGAGTATCTGGGATTACAGACGACGCCTACTACCACGCCCGGCTAATTTTTGTATTTTTAGTAGAGACAGGGTTTTACCGTGTTGGCCAGGCTGGTCTTGAACTCCTGACCTCAGGTGATCCACCTGCCTCGGCCTCCCAAAGTGCTGGGATTACAGGTGTGAGCCACTGTGCTGGGACCTTTTTTGCTTTCTTATCTTCTTAGTCTTTCTTCATTAACCTGATACCAGACCCCATCTTCTTTGCCATTTTTTAATCTTGGAAATCACAGGAGAGTCTGGTAAATAAACTGGTATCATCTTGTGTTTGGAAAGGGGTCACTGATGTCTCTAGACACATACTCCCTTGGATGCCAGACAGATAATATAATGTCCATGTGTTTTTTTTTTGTTTTTCATCCGTGTTATTTTTCCTGGATCTATAACCTGAGCTTCATTAAGTTTATTTATTTAATTTTTTGAGATGGAGTCCCTCTCTGTCACCCAGGCTAGAGTGTAGTGATGCGATCTCGGCTCACTGCAACCTCCGCCTCCCGAATTCAAGTGATTCTCTTGCTTCAGCCTCCCTAGTAGCTGGGATTACAGGCGACCACCATGCCTGGCTTATTTTTTTGTATTTTTGGTAAAAAAGGGGTTTTACCATGTTGGCCAGGCTGGTCTCGAACTCCTGACCTAATGTGATCTGCCTGCCTTGGCCTCCCAAAGTGCTGGGATTACAGGTGTGAGCCACCGCGCCAAGCCAAATTTATTGTCTGTATTTTGACAGCTGTTACTTTAGTTTAAGGGTTTGCACAGTAATGATCTCACGGTCAAGACAAACGGGTAGTGATTCTGTGGTGGTTTTTACCCCTCACCTCCACAACTCGGTTGTCTGTCTTTGTTCTTCCTCTTTCCTCCATTCTTTCCATTCCTGTGCATGCCTCTTCTTTTCAGATGAATGTAAAAGAGTTTAAGGAGCACATTGCTGCCTCTGTCAGCATCCCATCTGAAAAACAACGGCTCATTTACCAGGGACGAGTTCTGCAAGATGATAAGAAGCTTCAGGAATACAGTAAGGGGGCTGGGGAGGCAGTTCAGAGGTTGGGGCTACTGTCTGGAGGGATGAACTGAGGCCATGGGTTTACCTGTTCATACTATGTTTTGGTGTGTGTCTATTTTTCTGCAGATGTTGGGGGAAAGGTTATCCACCTGGTGGAACGGGCTCCTCCTCAGACTCACCTCCCTTCTGGGGCATCTTCTGGGACGGGGTCTGCCTCAGCCACTCATGGTGGGGGATCCCCCCCTGGTACTCGGGGGCCTGGGGCCTCTGTTCATGACCGGAATGCCAACAGCTATGTCATGGTTGGAACCTTCAATCTTCCTGTAAGCTTATGTTCCACAGGGGAGGGCTTTTGTGGGTAGCTTTGGTTGTGGTAGCACCAGGGAATTAATAAGATAGATGCTTCCATCTTTAGATTGGGTTCAGGGGGCCCTGTGGTGTGCTATTGGTCTCAGTCTTTAAGGAGAAAAGGAGGTAGGGCTCCAGGGAATGAATTGGAGGTGTGGAGGCCTTAGTGTTGGCTTCTCCCAGAACAACTTCCCTTACCCTTTCCCCAGAGTGACGGCTCTGCTGTGGATGTTCACATCAACATGGAACAGGCCCCGATTCAGGTATTGAGGGGCCTCCGAGGGTCAGGGAAGGGGATCTGGGAGAAGGAGGCTGGGAGGTGGGGTGGACCTGGCTGAGAGATGGCTGGGACCTGATTTAGTAGGTGGTAGAACTCATGGCTTCATCTGTAACCTACCCTGATAAACCTTCTCTCATTGTAGAGTGAGCCCCGGGTACGGCTGGTGATGGCTCAGCACATGATCAGGGATATACAGACCTTACTATCCCGGATGGAGGTAAGTGGGCAAGGCTGGCTAGGGTCTCTCTCCACCCTCCCTCTCCCTTTTCTCTCAGCCTGGGAGTTAGGGCTTCACTGGCCACATCCACAGGGTTTGGCCTTCATAATCTAGTCTTCTCTGCAGTATTCATTCTTTTGGGCAGAAAAAGTATCTTTGTGAGGCTCTCTCATTTCTGCCAATCCTCTTGGTGCCTGGTATCTGGGGAGTTTGTTTCAGACTTAGTCTCATGGCATCTCTTTTCAATTAAAGGATTCTACTCTCTTAACTTGTGGAGGCTGGGAAACCAACTTGTGGAGGAAAGGAAACCACAATCTCTACTCTTTGTTAGAAATTTATTTACAAATATTACAGATGCTGTGGCCGGGTGTGGTGGCTCCTGCCTGTAATCCCAGCACTTTGGGTCGCCATGGCAGGGGGATAACGTGTGGTCAGGAGTTCCAATCCAGCCTGGCCAACATGGTGAAACCCTGTCTCTACTACAAGTACAAAAATTAGTTGGGTGTGGTGGCACGCGCCTGTAGGCCTGGCTACTTAGAAGGCTGAGGCAAGAGAATTTCTTGAACCTGGGAGGCGGAGGTTACAGTGAGCTGAGATCATGCCACTGCACTCCAGCCTGGGCAACAGAGCGAGACTCTGTCTCAAAAAAAAAAAAAAAAATTACAGATGCTTATTATGCATCTAATTTGTGTCAGTCTTATGCTAGTTGCTAGCGAGTCGGAGATAAAATTGCAGAGCCATGCCTTCAGGGAGTCTAGTTAGGATACTTTCTCTGTTCAGTCTCCTGTAGAGTAATCCTCTGCAGCAGTCTTACCCTGCCTTTGGTATCCTGACTCTCCCCTACCTTCAGTGTCGAGGAGGGCCCCAACCGCAGCACAGTCAGCCGCCCCCGCAGCCACCGGCTGTGACCCCGGAGCCAGTAGCCTTGAGCTCTCAAACATCAGAACCAGTTGAAAGTGAAGCACCTCCCCGGGAGCCCATGGAGGCAGAAGAAGTGGAGGAGCGTGCCCCAGCCCAGAACCCGGAGCTCACTCCTGGCCCAGCCCCAGCGGGCCCAACACCTGCCCCGGAAACAAATGCACCCAAGTGAGAGATGGAGGGAATCTTTAGTGGGTGGGGAATCCTAAGTGAAGTATGGGGAGAAGGAAATGAACCATGGCAAGGGAGGGAAAGGATTACTTGGAGGTCTTAGTTGAAGGGTTAGCATTGAGGGGCGAGGAGGGGCTCTCTCGGTATAGGTAAATGACGCTAGGACAGGCAGCTGAGAAGAACTGCTGCTCTCCCTACGGCAAGGAAATCCAAATGGTATCTCCTGAGCCTGATCGGAATTCTCCTCTGAGTTCACGAAGGCCTGCTCTCTTTCTTAGAATTAGTCTTTCACCATTGTAGGTGCAGGATTGTGGTGGGGAGGGTGGGAGCAGTTCATTTTCTTCTCCCTATCCTCTCATGGGTGGGAGTAAAGAATAGAAGCTTTGGCTGGGTGCAGTGGCTCATGCCTGTAATCTCAGCACTTTGGGAGGCAGAGGCGGGCAGATCACCTGAGGTCAGGAGTTCGAGACCAGCCTGGCCAACATGGTGAAACCCTGTCTCTACTAAAAAATACAGGCCGGGCACAGTGGCTCACGCCTGTAATCCCAGCACTTTGGGAGGCCGAGGCGGGTGGATCATGAGGTCAAGAGATCGAGACTATCCTGGCTAACATGATGAAACCCCGTCTCTACTAAAAATACAAAAAATTAGCTGGGCATGGTGGCGGGCACCTGTAGTCCCAGCTACTCGGGAGGCTGAGTCAGGAGAATGGTGTGAACCCAGGAGACGGAGCTTGCAGTGAGCTGAGGTCGCACCACTGCACTCCAGCCTGGGTGATAGAGCGAGACTCTGTCTCAAAAAAAAAAAAAAAAAAAAAAAAACAAAAATTAGCCGGGTGTGGTGGCAGGCAACTTAATCCCAGCTACTTGGGAGGCAGAGGCAGGAGAATCGTTTGAACCTGGGAGGCGGAGGTTGAAGAGAATAGAAGCTCTGCTGGTCCAGAGAAGGATTGGGCCAGGGCTCTGGGAGACCAGGGAGAAAGAGGGCACATGTGGTCCCTGTTGACTGTGAGGGTGGGAATCTGAGGAAGGCTTTGGCTCATTGCCCCTTGGGTTTGTCCACAGCCATCCTTCCCCTGCGGAGTATGTCGAGGTGCTCCAGGAGCTACAGCGGCTGGAGAGTCGCCTCCAGCCCTTCTTGCAGCGCTACTACGAGGTTCTGGGTGCTGCTGCCACCACGGACTACAATAACAATGTGAGCCCTTTGATGGCCCTGCCCTTTCTCCTCAGCCCCAGTACTCCCAAAACAGAACAGGCTGAAATACAGATAACTCTTTCCCTCCCTGGAAAAACATTGCAACAGGGCCAGGTGCAGTGGCTCACGCCTGTAATCCCAGCACTTTGGGAGGCCAAGGTGGGCGGATCATCTGAGATCGGGAGTTTGAGACCAGCCTGGCCAACATGGTGCAACCCCATCTCTACTGAAAATATAAACATTAGCTGGATGTAGTGGTGCACACCTGTAATCCCAGCTACTCAGGAGGCTGAGGCAGGAGAATCGCTAGAACTCGGGAGGAGGGGGTTGCAGTGAGCCGAGATTGCACTACTGCACTCTAGCCTGGGTGACAGAGCGAGACTGTCTCAAAAAACAAAACAAAACAAAAAAACACACATTGCAACAAAACAATTTCTCTCTAAACCTGTAAGTGATTTTGTCCTCCCTTACAGAGAAGGTGATAATCTTTGCTGTAAGCACTGTCCTCGTATCGTACCCCTTGTGCCCCTGAATGAATTTAGAAAATGTAAAGTACAGGAGATCAGTATATGATGACTTACTGATTCATAGTAGTGTTTTAATAGGATGTTCCTTATGTGAATAAGATATAATTTATTTGCAAAGATTTGGTCTACATGTAAACTTCCAAGGATATAACTGAAAGTTTTGGAGGACATGGTATTCTCAGTAGGCATTATTGCTTTTATTAGTGAGATGGACTCCAGCTTGATATTTTCTGCCTTTTTGTGTTTGGCTGGTTGTGCGCAGCACGAGGGCCGGGAGGAGGATCAGCGGTTGATCAACTTGGTAGGGGAGAGCCTGCGACTGCTGGGCAACACCTTTGTTGCACTGTCTGACCTGCGCTGCAATCTGGCCTGCACGCCCCCACGACACCTGCATGTGGTCCGGCCTATGTCTCACTACACCACCCCCATGGTGCTCCAGCAGGCAGCCATTCCCATACAGGTGGGTTAGGGGGAGTCTGGCCTGAGGGAGAGTGAGGGGTGTTGATAGAGTGACCCAGGGTAGCTACTGGGCCTGAAGGAGGTTAGGAAAGGAGGAGACTGGAAACATGGTGATGAAGGCTGGAGATACTTTAGAGGTTTATCATGAGGTTTTCTTGGTTAGGCTCTTGTATTTTTCTCACATCTGCCTGTCCATCTGTCTTTTTCAGATCAATGTGGGAACCACTGTGACCATGACAGGAAATGGGACTCGGCCCCCCCCAACTCCCAATGCAGAGGCACCTCCCCCTGGTCCTGGGCAGGCCTCATCCGTGGCTCCGTCTTCTACCAATGTCGAGTCCTCAGCTGAGGGGGCTCCCCCGCCAGGTCCAGCTCCCCCGCCAGCCACCAGCCACCCGAGGGTCATCCGGATTTCCCACCAGAGTGTGGAACCCGTGGTCATGATGCACATGAACATTCAAGGTGAGAATAGTTGCTGGCGAGAAGAGCAGGATCAGCATGATGAGGGAGGTTCATGCTGAGGTGTGAGGGAACAGGGTGGGGAAGGGAGAGGCACATGCTGGTGGTGGTAGCCTGGGGACCAGAGCAGAAGCTTAAGTAGACAGATGTGGGGGGTGTGGGGGTTGGTTTGTCTTTGGAGGTGTGTTTGTGTGGTGAAGGGAGTACCTCTCCCTGTTTAGATGGAGGGAAAGGCAGGCTTTCTGATTGGGGGATTATGGGCCTGAAGTATGCCTGATCTCAGAAGGATATAGTTAGGCCTTGGCCCTACCTACCTCAGGGCCACTGTCTCTGTCTCCCTGCCCAGATTCTGGCACACAGCCTGGTGGTGTTCCGAGTGCTCCCACTGGCCCCCTGGGACCCCCTGGTCATGGCCAAACCCTGGGTAAGAGTGAGGGCATCAGGGCAGGCTGAGCTCTGGGTAGAGAAAGGGAAGGGCTGAGTGGGTGGGTTGAAGGGGTCCAGGTTCAAGGTTACATCAGACCCGCCCCCCAGGCTCCACCCTCATCCAGCTGCCCTCCCTGCCCCCTGAGTTCATGCACGCCGTCGCCCACCAGATCACTCATCAGGCCATGGTGGCAGCTGTTGCCTCCGCGGCCGCAGGTAATGACCTGGAAGGGGAGGCTTGGGAGGTAGGGCACAGTCCATGGTGGCAGCTGGCTGGCAAGGGCCTGGCCCTCAGCCCTCTTCGGTCTGTCTCTTCTGCCACCCACAGGACAGCAGGTGCCAGGCTTCCCAACAGCTCCAACCCGGGTGGTGATTGCCCGGCCCACTCCTCCACAGGCTCGGCCTTCCCATCCTGGAGGGCCCCCAGTCTCTGGGACACTGGTGAGCAAGGGTCGGGGAGTTCTAGTGCGTAACAGTCTAGGGAGAGACTCCTGTGGTGGTGCATGGAAGGGCAGGTCTGAAGTTCTCCCTTGCTCTCTATCCAGCAGGGCGCCGGTCTGGGTACCAATGCCTCGTTGGCCCAGATGGTGAGCGGCCTTGTGGGGCAGCTTCTTATGCAGCCAGTCCTTGTGGGTGAGTTTTCATTCTTCCCCACTCAGAGTTTAAACTCCTTTCCTAGTCTGCTCACTGGCACTTTCCAGTTCTTTCCATATTTTCTTGGTTCCTGCTTTCCTGGAATGGGGCTGCTGTAGTGTCTTGTGTCTTCAGGTTTCAGCTTTTTTTTTTTTTTTTTTTTTTTTTTTTTTTTTTTGAGATGGAGTCTCACTCTGTTGCTAGGCTGGAGTGCAGTGTACAATCTTGGCTCACTGCAACCTCTGCCTCCCGGGTTCAAGTGATTCTCCTGCCTCAGCCTCCTGAGTAGCTGGGACTACAGGTGCACGCCACCACGCCCAGCTAATTTTTTATGTTTTTAGTAGAGAAGGGGGTTTCACCATGTTGGCCAGGATGGTCTCGAACTCTTGACCTTGTGATCCACCCACCTTGGCCTCCCAAAGTGCTGGGATTACAGGCTTGAGCCATCGTGCCCGGCCAGCTTTTTTCTTTTTTTTTTAAGTTACAGAGTCTTGCTCTGTCACCCAGACTGGAGTGCAGTGGTGCAATCCAGTGAGTTAAAGCTCACTGTAACCTTGAACTCCTGGGCTCAAACAGTTCTCCCACCTCAGCCTCCTGAGTAGCTAGCAGTACTAGCTCCTGGCTAGTAATTGTCTTTTTTTTTTTCTGGTAGAGATGGGGTCTTGCTATGTGGCCTAGACTCCTGGGCTCAAGCAGTTCTCATGCCTTGGCCTCCCAAAGTTGCTAGGATTACAGCCAAGAGCCACCATGCTCAGCCCAGCTTTCTTTTTTTGGTTTCTTACAGCTCAGGGGACCCCAGGTATGGCTCCACCGCCAGCCCCTGCCACTGCTTCTGCCAGTGCTGGCACCACCAACACAGCTACCACAGCTGGCCCCGCTCCTGGGGGGCCTGCCCAGCCTCCACCCACCCCTCAACCCTCCATGGCTGATCTTCAGTTCTCTCAGCTTCTGGGGAACCTGCTAGGGCCTGCAGGGCCAGGGGCTGGAGGGCCTGGTGTGGCTTCTCCCACCATCACTGTGGCGATGCCTGGTGTCCCTGCCTTTCTCCAAGGCATGACTGACTTCTTGCAGGTGAGTGGCTGGCTTGCCATTCACCTCATCTTCCTGTCCCCCGGCCCAGCCAGGCAGTGGTACCTTCTTGCCATTACATAACCACTGGGTAAGAGCCCCTAGTGACATGTTAGGGGAAGGGGCCCTGGGAATTCATTGACTCTGAACCTTTCATTTTAAAGATGAAGAAAATGAGGTTTAGAAAAAGAAAGTATAGTAATTAGTGTCACTGCTTTCTGACAACCTGTTCAGAGGAAGAGGTAGGTAAGTTGTGCTGCCTGACTCTGTTAAATACCTACCATACTTCTGCTTTAAGCAGTGAAGATCAGAATGTAACTCCCCATCTTCCCAGACCCGTTGGTTTGTGCCCTCTTGATGCCGTATTATTTCCGTGTGTCTTCATTCTCACCTCACTTTCTGTTCTTTGTTCTTTATTTGCCAGGCAACACAGACAGCCCCTCCACCACCCCCACCTCCTCCACCCCCACCACCTGCCCCAGAGCAGCAGACCATGCCCCCACCAGGCTCCCCTTCTGGTGGCGCAGGGAGTCCTGGAGGCCTGGGTCTTGAGAGCCTGTCACCGGAGTTTTTTACCTCAGTGGTGCAGGGTGTGCTCAGCTCCCTGCTGGGCTCCCTGGGGGCTCGGGCTGGCAGCAGTGAAAGTATTGCTGCCTTCATACAACGCCTCAGTGGATCCAGCAACATCTTTGAGCCTGGAGCTGATGGGGCCCTTGGTGAGCAAAAAGGATGCTTTGGCTTGCTCCAGGAAGGGGCAGCCAGAGGAATGTAGATGGCCTTGGTTTAGGGGTGTTGCCAAGGTGGGATGAGGTTGATGATCTGGTTGTGGGTGGGCAGGCCAGGTGGTAAAGGCCATTGCTAACATCTGCCCTTGTCCCCCAGGATTCTTTGGGGCCTTGCTTTCTCTTCTGTGCCAGAACTTCTCTATGGTGGACGTAGTGATGCTTCTCCATGGGCATTTCCAGCCACTACAACGGCTCCAGCCCCAGCTGCGATCCTTCTTCCACCAGCACTACCTGGGTGGTCAGGAGCCCACACCCAGTAACATCCGGGTAAATGAAGGCCAGGGGCCCCAGAACTCTCCTCTTTTGCACATTTTATTCCTTATTTCTGACTGCTTCTCTGCCAGGTAAAGCTCCAATTGCCCCCACACAAGCCCTGGACTTGTTGGGGTCGAGGTGGAAGTCTTGGGAGGACTGAGGCTTTGAACTAAACCTGTTCTGTTTCCTCCACAGATGGCAACCCACACATTGATCACGGGGCTAGAAGAGTATGTGCGGGAGAGTTTTGTGAGTAACCCTTCTCTATTCCTTTCCTCTCCTGGGTCTGGTCAAGGCAGCTGCCTCCTCCACTCCCAGTCTTATGATTCTTGATTTTGGGATCTTTGTGTTATCTTGTCTCTCAGTCCTTGGTGCAGGTTCAGCCAGGTGTGGACATCATCCGGACAAACCTGGAATTTCTCCAAGAGCAGTTTAATAGCATTGCTGCGCATGTGCTGCATTGCACAGGTCAGGGGCTGGCCAGGCGGGGGCAAGTGGGGCCTGTTGCATGTGCAGGGCTGCCACGTGCCAGCATTCCCTCCTTGTATTTTGCCCACAGATAGTGGATTTGGGGCCCGGTTGCTGGAGTTGTGTAACCAAGGCCTGTTTGAATGCCTGGCCCTAAACCTGCACTGCTTGGGGGGACAGCAGATGGAGCTTGCTGCTGTTATCAATGGCCGAATTGTAAGCACCACCTAGCCCCAGATCCTTAGCCTTTTGTTTCCTGAGGTTTCCATTCTCTGCAGTTTTCATTTTTCTTTTCTAAACTGACATTCTGTAACCTGGATCTAATCTATTTCTAAAGGTGGTTGAGGGTTTTGTGTTCTAAATCTGCTTTCTGTCCCTCAGCGTCGTATGTCTCGTGGGGTGAATCCCTCCTTGGTGAGCTGGCTGACCACTATGATGGGACTGAGGCTTCAGGTGGTACTGGAGCACATGCCTGTAGGCCCTGATGCCATTCTCAGATACGTTCGCAGGGTTGGTGATCCCCCCCAGGTAAGGGACCTGTTGGGCGATGGGGTCAGGGTACTTGAGAGAACTGGAGAGATCTGAGAGGAAGTATGGTGTTCTTTAATTTCACAGCCACTTCCTGAGGAGCCAATGGAAGTTCAGGGAGCAGAAAGAGCTTCCCCTGAGCCTCAGGTACTCTAGAGAGGGGGAGGTTGAGGGGCCAGATAATGTGGAGTGGAGGGCTGGGGGAGAAAGGTTTGGAGGCTAAAAATTCTGAAGCCTGGCTCTTCCCGCCATCTGACACCCAGCGGGAGAATGCTTCCCCAGCCCCTGGAACAACAGCAGAAGAGGCCATGTCCCGAGGTCCACCTCCTGCTCCTGAGGGGGGCTCCCGGGATGAACAGGATGGAGCTTCAGCTGAGACAGAACCTTGGGCAGCTGCAGTCCCCCCAGTAAGTGTCAGGAAGTAATCCAGTGGGTCATGGCAGCTGAAAGTCAAGGACATTACTATTTTCTCTTTTCCTCCCCAGGAATGGGTCCCTATTATCCAGCAGGACATTCAGAGCCAGCGGAAGGTGAAACCGCAGCCCCCTCTGAGTGATGCCTACCTCAGTGGTATGCCTGCCAAGAGACGCAAGGTTGGTTTTCCTCTTCCCTAAGCCTCTCTCTCTATCCAGGTTTCCCCGTCATGCCTGGAATCAAACTATGTAGAGATGGTGGGAGCTCTTGTTATTCAGTCTCCCCTCCCCTCGTTTAATGAGGAAACTTTTTCTGGGATTCAGACTTGCTCTTGGTTGTTGCATAACCATACAGGACTTGACCTTAGTCTGTTTGCTAGCAGTCCTGTATTAGTTGCTCAGCTGCCTAATCCCCATGTGCTTAGATCCCATTTTCCTTTAAGGTGGGTTTCCTCTTGTGGATTACCTAGCTCTGAATCCCGGATGGCTTGACCCCTTCTGCCTTTCGTTTTGAAGAGCACGTTCAAGCACATTCACTTTAGTTTTGGCTAGTGCCAAAGAGAATTAGGAAGGCATTTCTGCTGTAAAAACCACATCCTGGACTCTTAATTTCCCCTCTCTCCACTAGCATGGAGACTCAGTGGAGTGGTTGACTCATGGAAAGGGTGAGCCGGATGGTGGCACTGGATCTGACGTTGATCCTCTTTTCCCTCCCAACCCCCTGTCCCCCAGACGATGCAGGGTGAGGGCCCCCAGCTGCTTCTCTCAGAGGCTGTGAGCCGGGCAGCTAAGGCAGCCGGAGCTCGGCCCCTGACGAGCCCCGAGAGCCTGAGCCGGGACCTGGAGGCACCAGAGGTTCAGGAGAGCTACAGGCAGCAGGTGCCACCTTGAAGCAGAATAGGGATGGTCTAGTGGGAGGGGTTGGGCTAGGGTCCCTCTTCCCTGGATCCCTTCAGCGATGAACTGGTCAGCCTGGTGCTACCATTTGTTTTCCCCTTTGGCATCTGGGAAGGCTTGACAGTGCCACCCCGGGCTATTTGACAGCGTGCTTGGGGGGGGAAATGTTAGCTTCTGAGGGATGGCCTTGTGTGCTTGCTGGGATCATAGGGACTTGGCCAGCGTTTCTCCAACCTGCTTACTTTTTCTCTTTAGCTCCGGTCTGATATACAAAAACGACTGCAGGAAGACCCCAACTACAGTCCCCAGCGCTTCCCCAATGCCCAGCGGGCCTTTGCTGATGATCCTTAGCTCTTTGCTCTATGGCCCTTCCTCATCAGGGGACCGTTTCCCCCCTCTTCCTTCACAGTATTTAAGAAATAAAAGTCGGATTTTTCTGGCTGCTTTCTCTCTACATTGTCTCCATTAGGTAGTGTGTCCCTTAATCTTGTGTGAACTTTTTAAAATTAATACTTCCTTGGAACACTGTTGTGTTCTACTCAGCACGCTAAATTGTACAAGCCAGTTTTGATGTTTGTTTTTTTTTTTTTTTGAGACAGAGTATTGCTGTCTCCCAGGCTGGAGTGCAGTGGCCCGATCTCGAGCTCGGCTCACTACAACCTCCACCTCCCGGGTTCAAGTGATTCTCACTCATGCCTCAGCCTCCTGAGTAGCTGGGACTACAGGCGTCCGCCACCACGCCCGGCTAATTTTTGTATTTTTAGTAGAGACAGGGTTTCACCATATTGGCCAGGCTGGTCTCGAACTCCTGACCTTGTGATCCACCCGCCTTGGCCTCCCAAAGTGCTGGAATTACAGGCGTGGGCTACCGCGCCCAGCCTGGTGTTTGTATTTTTTGTGCGAAAGCACTTTATATATAAATAAAAAACCTGTATTTTGAGTTGGGAGCATATTCCAGGTGCACACTAGCATAGAGCTCTCAAATTACCCATCAAAAAAAGTTTCTGAGCAGCTGCAGACCTAAGTATAGTCTTTAGCATAACTAGCATGCAGCGTTACCATGTGAAATCCCACTTAGTTTGACAATGCTGGAATTGGTCTATCCAATTCAAAGAGCCCCTTAAGTGTGCTCCAACATTGAGGCCTTAACAGAGATTTCCCCTTAGTTCATCATAAAGAACTGAAGTCCCATGGCTGCAAATTCTTTGCTAGTCCCTTTGAGATGCAGTTGAAGTCCCTTCTAAACCCCCCCATCCCCTACCTTGGCTAGTTTAGTGCTCTATCAACTAAGCATGGCATAAGCTTAGAAAATTCCAGCTAGACCTCTTGGAACATGAGCTCACGGACATTTAACAGGCCTGCTGGAGAGTCCATGTGAAGACACTGGTTGATAACCCAGTAATGTTACAGATGTCCCACCAAGGCCCTAGATATGCAAAGGAAGCCATATTGGGACCAGCCCAGGTGTCAGCTGCAGACTGATAACCAGGTGACCTCGCTCACTGGCACAAAAAAGCAGATTTATCCAGCTGAGCTCAGCCCAAATTCCAGACTCACAAAAATTTAAAGATCCAATACGATGGTCATGTTTTTAGTTTCAACAGCTCACTGGAATAAGTAATGAATATTTCCCTGACTGAAACTACAGATCACTCAGCACCATGCTTTAAGACAATGCAAACAACTCATCCCCCAAATCATTGTAGAAGTTTTTTTTTTTAAATCCTTTTATTACTCTTTTTTAACAAACAGCCCCAGGGACAGGGGACCAGGGGAAGGGGGAGGAGGGGAAGTGAGGCCCCAGCCCCACAACCCCTCCCCGCCCACCCCTTTCCCCCTTATATATTTATAATCTATATACAAGCCCCGGGGGTAGGGGGCAAGAGGAACTCCCTCAGCGGGGTGGGGGCAACCCAGGCTCCTTGTCCCCTCGGGACCCAGGCTCCTCTGCCCGTCGGGAGGGCCCTTCTCGAGGTGGCGGCCCTGTCCGCTCCCAAGGCTTAGGTATCCAGCGCAGGGCATCTGGTGGGGAGGCCTAGGGGACAGGCATGTGTTAAAGAGTGAGTCACAGTGAGAGGTCAGCGATGAGACGGAAGGACAGGAAATCAGGTGGCAACTCGAATTTAGAGTTGGGGCCACAAGGGTTTCTCCTTCACCTGCTGGTAAAGGTCGACGCGCTGGGTGCGGAAGACTCCACTGTAGGTGGAAGGCGTGGCCTTGAGACGGGAATTGAGGCCAGAGAAGGACCTAAGGGAAGAAGGGCGTCTAAGGCAAGCCTAGGATCCAGACCCTGGTTCCAAAGTAAGGAAGCACTTGGAAAGTCCACATCCCTATTCCGTTTCACCTTCCAGTTGGGGGAGTCCGTGATGATCCAGGTCCCCCAAGGTTGCTGCTCAGTTTTTGATAATCCTGGAACGGCTTTAGTTCCACTGGATGCAGCTGAGGGGAAAAAAATCATGAGCTGCCTACCTTGAAATACAGAATCCCTACTCCCAAGTCTTGGCGCTCCCTAGCCCCTCAGTTCCTGTACCTTACCTCTGCTCGCCCCAAGCTAGCGGGGAAGGGCCTGGCAGGTGAAGGCAGCACCCGAGTAGCAGGAGCAGGTGGGGGCCGCACAGCCAGGCTGGGGGGCTGCAGAGCAGGGCCCACAGGTAACAGAGAAAGGGGAGGTGGGGCAGGAGGTGGTGCTGGCGGCAGGGAGCCAAAGTTCACCACAGGCAGCTGTGAGTCTACCATGGGTAGAAGCATCTGTAACAAGAAATTTGGGTGTGCATGTTGGGGGCAGGGAGGAATGTCAGAAAACCAGGGAAAATCAAAGCCAGCAACTGGACAGAGAAATCAAATGAAGGGGAAGTGTGAAGATACAATATACCTGCTGGGCAGGAGCCCCTGAAGGGAGAAAGCCACTTTGGCCACCAGGCTGCAGAGGAGTAGAATAAAAATCCGAAGGGGATGGCAGATCCTGGCGTACCTGTCGGGAAACAGGGAGAAATATATCAACCCCCACAAAATCATTCTCCCTACCCTATCCCCCAATATCTAATACCTGCCCCCCTCTTACCTGAAGCAACGATGTGTCAGGCAAAGGACTGGGGCAGAAAGCCGGAGAGTAGAGGAAGGAAGGTGGAGGGTAGAGAACTCCTCCAGCCGGCAACTTCCCCAGCTCTGTAGCTTGCATTGTGGAGAAATCCAGAAACTGGCCCTTGAGAGCTACCCCAGAGAGCAGTGCTGAGGGAGGGGCTGGGCCGGGGGGTAGGTATAGGGGCTGTGATCTGAAAATAAATTGTGGGGAGAAAAGCTGTTAGGAAGCCAGAGTCCTAGCAATGCCTTAAGTCCACTAGCTTCTAGTACCCTAGAACTGTGTCTTCCCCTTCCCTCTCCCCGAAACACATCTCCAAGTACTTCTGTGATCCACAGGCATCGAGTCTTACCTGTAAGGGTGCAGTGAGGGTGTCCCAGGGCGGAAGCCTCCACTGTTTGGATGTAATTGAGAGTCCATGGCTCCCCCAGAGATCTGCAGGAGAGGAGCACGGTTGAAACAGCTTTAGTATCTGTGGTCAAGAAAAAAGATCACCATCCCACCCATAGAAGCAAAAAGTAGGGAGAAAAATGATGTGACAAAGTGGTATCTCACAACTCTGCAACGTAGAAAGGCTTGATTATAAATACATACCAGGCAGAAAAAAATTATTATTCACTGAAGGGGTCATGCAATGGGAAGCGGGGCCTACCTGAGAACTGGAAGGCCCAGCACTGCCATAGAAAACCTCAGGATACAGGCGCTGGCCTGAGGAGCTGGGCTCCGGGACACAGTGCCCAGAATCCAGGTTCTTGGATTGTGGCTCAGCAGAGGCAGCAGCACTGGGAAGCAGCTCCCAGTCTCGTGATACAGGAATGGCCTGGGAAGGAGAGGCCTCGTGGAGAGGGATGTCTGGCATCCTGGACGCCCTGGTCACTCCCAGCAATCTTCCCCAGAAATCTTGGGCCTTTCCACCAAACTCTTACTCCCACTTACCTCAGTGACTGATGCTGTTAGCTCCTTCTCTGCTTTCAAGCTGTCTCCTACCACTAGGCGTAAGTCTGAGTCCTGTGATCACAAGAAGGCAGGAGACATTGTCCCGTGACAGACATGTGTCCTCTATGTCCCACCTTTAGTCCTTCCCTTCTCTCCACCCAACTCAGGATACCCAGATCCAGCCCACACAGACCTTGTCACTAGTGCCAAACTGGACTGGGGGACCAGGTCGATGGGATGGCCGAATGGGGCCAGGCTCTGTGCCTCGGTCTGTACGCTGTGATCGTTCTGTGCCAATGGGGCCAGGGGGCAGAGGCTGCTCCCGGGGCAGCTCCTGGATTGGGCACACAGTAAAGTGCATTGGGGGAGGGAAAGGGAAATCCAAATTGGAATGCCCAGAACACACACGCAGAGAGAAAAAGCAGAAAAAGGTAGGGCCAAAGTCAGATTCCTGGAAACATTCCCCTTATCCTTTTTTGGTCTTTTACCTTTCTGTCCCCATCGTGGGGGGCAGGTGGTGGTCTCCTAGGAGGTTCAGAGCCAGGTGGACCCTCACAAGGAACAGCATTCAGGGGTGAGGAGCCTCCAGGCCTCTTGGGGGGTCCCTCTGCTGCCCCCTTGAGTCCTCCATCAGGGGAACTTCGCTGGCTGCAGGGACCTGATGACACCTGAGAATCCCCACTCAGGTCCACCCCACTGTCAGACTGACTCATCTGAGAGGAGTGGAGAAGGAGCTAGTTAAGTCAGGGTAGAAAGCACCCCAATACCTGACTGATGCACACATACAAACTGCAGAAAGGGGACAGCCAAGTGAGAGAACAGCTCCAGACTCAACCCAGAGCAGGTGGGGGGTATGACCAGTGCTCAAAAAAGTCCCAGCTCAGACACACCCTCCCACCCTCACTCACTTCTGTGCCAGCCACATCCTCAAAAGGACTCAGGGGCTCCATCCAAGGCTCCATGGAGCTGGGCCGGTAACTCTTTCGGCTAGTGGCTGGAGAAGGGAGCACCAACCAGAAGAGAAGTGAGGAGATGACAGTTCAGAAGCCCCTCTCATTCTTAACCCTTCTACCATAGTCCTTTCACTCAGCTTTACTCACCAGTATGTAAACGGTTCCAGATGTGAGGGGTCAGGGCCTCTGTGCCTGTATCTCTGGACTCTGCCTGAGGGCCTGGGCCCTCAGGCTTAGAGCCCAAGAATCCAGAGCTATGAGGAGGTGGCAAAGATTCCTACAGATGAGAAGGGCCAGAAGCAAAACATGAATTGGGTGGGAATTGGGAATTATAGGAAGCCAGGACAGAGTGGGGTGACACAGGGTGTGGGGACAACAAGGGAGACACATGGGAGACTAATACTGAGAATTCTGGAGTAAAAACACAGTGAAAGAAACAGGAAAGAAAACAGAGAAAACATAACCCAGAAGAATTTTCACGAGTAAGAGTGCAGTGAAGCACAATCTCAAACCCATCCCTTACCTCCTGTAGCAGCTCTGGTTTTCTGGGAGGCCGCTCCCGACGTTTAGGGGGAAAGGGACTAACCCCGGCAGAGTCCCGAGGAGTCCCACCCACCCCTCTCACCATTGGCCCCGGCTCCTCAAAGTGGGGGTCTGGGAAAGAGAAAAAGGGTCAGCATCTGCCTGGCTCTGCCACTGACCCTAACTTTTCCTCTCTACTCCACCTCCCAATTCTTCTACCCTTGCTCCCTGCAGAAACGCACCCAGCAGCAGGGTCCCTAGGCCAGGTTCTCCACCCGCTCCCTCCAGCACTTGACCTTCTCTGGGGATGGAGATATTCCCACCCATAACCCCTCCAGCTTACCAGAACTGAGGCCGCTGTTGACCCTCTGGGGCTCGTATCGGGTTGGGGGCCTAGGAGAGGGGCCCTGAGGGGCTTGGGGAAGCCCAGGCTTGTGCCTTGGATGACCCCCTGGTGCAGTTACACTCCCTTGACGGCTACTAAGCTGGGCCAGAGCCTGTTGGATGCCAGCAGGGTTGCTGTGGATAACTTGGTCCAGGCGGAAGACAGCAGAACTGCTGGGAGGTGGGGGAGGCAGGGGAAGCCCCGGGGGACGCTCCTCTGGAGGACGACTGGAGAAAACAGAGCATTAGCTCCAGTATCCACTAAATCGTTACTTTTTCCCACAAGTTATGTTTCCCAACTTCTGCTTACAACCTATTCTCTTCCCTATTAAAGTCCAGGTGTTTTTGAGTCCTTCTAAGGATTCCTATGCATACAGATGCACAGACTGGAAAGCAAAGAACCAGCAATGAATACATAGGTGGGTGTTCTTGACTCTAACACCCTACCAACCGCTTTCCAGTTGCCTTAGCCAGACATGGAAATCCTACTGACATTCTAGAGCCCATGGCCCCTCAGGCCACAATCTCCACTCCACCCAAACTTATCTTTCCCTCAGGCTTTTTCCCCCTCCTCCAATTTTTAAACCACAATAAATTTGTTTGTTCCTACCCACCTTCGGTTCTTGGGAGAGGGCCAGCTCCTCTTGTCGCCTCGTCCTGGCCCGGTCCTTCCTCCAGGACCCCCACCGCCTCCTCCACTGCTGCTGCCACTGCTGCCAGCCTTGCCCCCTGGGCCAGGGCGCCGATTCTGCCGTTCCATGCCTGGCCGCTGACTTGAGAAGCTCCGTTTACTCAAATCCTTGGCTCTCTGGCTCAGATCTCCGCGGGACATGGCTGAAATACCTGGTACGGCTCCACCTCCACCTCCCCCAGGAGTTCCCACAGCCTTGGGTGTCAGCAGTACTGGTGGGGGTGCCTCTTTGTCCCCTCGGCGCTCACTGGTGAAGTCACTGCTCTCTGATGCAGTCTCCCATTCCTCATTGGCTTGGTCTGAGTTCTGGTTTGACAGATCAGGAGACTTGGCAGCTGCCCGGCGAGGTGCTGGGGCCACTGTGACTGTTGTGAGGGCCTCCTCAGGTCCAGGAGCGGAGGCTGGAAGGGTTAGGGAGGGCTTGCCCTCAGACCCCCTTGCGGCATTCTCCCGTTCCTGCTTCAGCCTCCGGAAACGAGGCGGTTTATCCTGCTGCTGAGCCCTCCCATGTCGCCTCCTTCGGGGTCGCTCCCCATCTTCCATGCCCACATTGCTACCTCCATTGCTGCCTCCGCGCGCCACAGGGGACAGAGGCCCTGGGATCAACTTCTCTTTCAAAGGCTCCTTACTTGGTGGCAAAGGGCCTGTGGGAGGTTTCTTGGGAGCCAGAGACTTGGCTGGAGGGCTCCAGCCTGGGCAAACTTGAGGAGGGGGCCTCCCTCCTCCTCGGCCCCGGCGAGATGGCACCCCTCTGGGAGTGAAGACTCGCCCACCCCGGGCAGTGAAGCGGGCTGGGGCTGGTGAAGGTGGGGCTCCTGGTGGTGGGGGAGCGAGAGGGACCTGGGTGAGTGTTCCCTCCTTGGGTGTGGGAGCCTCCTTGTCTGAAGGAGCCAGATCACTCTCATGGGTCTCGCTGCCTGTTTCTGAGCCCCGCTGCCGGCGCCGCTTGGGGATTTCCTCATACTCTGAACCCTCGCTCCGTGTCTCGCTGGCAGTGCGGCCTCGGGGAGCAGGAGGGTGGTTTGGTCCCCCTGTCCCACCTCCACGCCCATCATCTCCTCGAAACTCTCGGTAACTGCGGAATTCCCGGCTTCGGGCTCCCCGCCCTCGTCCCCCATAGGTCCCCCGAAAACCCCTCCCTCTGGCAAAATACTCGCCTCGGCCCCGACCCCGGCAAGAGGTAGGACCCACTCTTTCATACGAATAGTCCCTCCGAAGCCTTGGGGCAGGGGAAAGATTTCCATTGGGTGGGGTCTCCTTGGGGCCCCCTAGCTTCCCCTTGGTTATCTTGAGTGGGTCTGGCTTTGGGGGTTTGGGGGTTTCATCCCCCTGTTCGAGGGGCTTGGGAGGCAGCTCTTCTACTTTTGTAGGTGGTGGAGGTTTCTTTATAGGCCCAGCCCGGCGGGGTGGGGCCCCTGGCTCCTCTGGAGGGATTCCACGACGACTGCTCCCTGGACGAGGGCCCCAGCGGGTCTCTGTGCGACTCTCTCTGCGTGGTGGTGGGGGGCCCTGGCCTCCACTCCCGACTCCGCGGGCAGGCTTTCGGCCTGCTTCTGGCCCCGTCAGCTGTGCAGTCTCCTCCTTAGGGGGCTCCTTCTTGGGTGGTGGAGTTTGTATCTTGGCCACTTCATCACTGCCTGGGGGCCAGGGGAGTGGACGGGGCCCTGGTTCCTCCAGAGGAAAGCGAGAGATTGGGGGCCCAGGGGCTCCATTCTCAGGAAAGCCTGGATAACTGGCCAGATAGGGTGGTGGGGGAGGTACTGGAGGAGTCTCGCTCCTGAAGAGACAGACAGAAAGAATGGAAATAAGTATCTCAGGAAAACCAGAACTAGGTGGGAAAAGAACACTTTATTATGATGCAGACTCTCTTTTACTATTTTTCTGTTTGTTTTGGCAGAGATGGCATCCAGTTGCCGAGGCTAGTCTCGAACTGCTGGGCTCAAGCAATCTTCTTGCCTCAGCCTCCCAAAATGCTGGGATTACAGGCATGAGCCACTCCATCCAGCCTCTCCTTTCCCGTTCATCCCTATCCCTACCACTAACCCAAAGTACCTTTCTCCCAGGCCTAGATCCTTTCACTGTGAACTCACCCATTTCTCATGACCAAGACTCACCTCATCCCCTTGTCATCCTCATCCGCAGCCTGGCGCAGAGGTGAGGTAAGTGGGCGGGGTTCAGCGGGTGTGGCGGTGAAGACATCTCCTACCCAGGCCAACTTTGGATCCACCGGTGGAGTGCCCCGTTCCCGTAACATAGCAGGTGCATGACGGTCAAATGGCTCTGAGCTTGAGCCCCCACTGTCTGAACGCTCTCGGGGAACTAGGCCTGAAGAAACCAAAGAAAAAGAAAAATAATCCTATTCATGTCACAAGCCCTCCAGCCCAAAAAGCATCTCCCCTCGCGGTCAAGTCAGCTCTTCCATCTCTTGTTCCCAGTAGGTCCGGGCCTTGCCTGCTCTTATATAACAAGGTTATCCACTCAGATTCCCTACAAGAGAATCAACCCACCCCAAATAAATCCTGGCAAATGAAGGACCACTGCTTCTTTCATTCATTCATTCATTTTTGAGATGGAGTTGTGCTATTCATTCATTCATTTTTGAGACGGAGTTTCGCTCGTTGCCTAAGCTGGAGTGCGATGGCACAATCTCGGCTCACTACAACCTCCACCTCCTGGGTTCAAGCGTTTCTCCTGCCTCAGTCTCCCGAGTAGCTGGGACTACAGGCGAGCGCCACCACGCCGGCTACTTTTTTGTATTTTTAGTAGAAATGGGGTTTCACCACGTTAGCCATGGTGGTCTCGAACTCCTGAACTCAGTTGATCTGCCCACCTCGGCCTCCCTAAGTGCTGGGATTACAGGCGTGAGCCACAATGCCTGGCCAACCACTGCTTATTTCTTAACTAAGCCCATTTTTGCAACAGAGCTATCTCAGCAGTGCCAAGCATATGCCCTTCCCTCATCACTATGATGGGCAAAACCTATCGTACCAGAGTCACAGTAAGACCCTAATATCCAATGCCTAAGACTGAGGGGACTTTCCTGTTTCTCACTCCTCCCATGCCCCCTTACCAGAGGGATGCACACCAGGAGGGTAGAAGTCTAGAGGGGGACGACCCTGGAGGAGCCGGGGGTCCACATAAGGAGGAATCATCATCCATCGGGGATCAAAGTTCATTGGGGGCATGGGTGGGGGCCGGCCCAGAGCACCTGGGTACAGGGCCTTGGGGGGCGGGGGTGGAGCCTGTGGAGCTGGCACAGCCCCCAGGGTCACAGGCTGTGGTGGTGATGGGGGCACTGGGGTAGGAGGGGCAGAGCCCTGTTGATGCTGCTGCCACTGGTGCTGCTGCTGCTGCTTCAGGAGCTGCTCCTAGGAAAGGAGGAAAGACAAGATGAGAGAGGCTCAAAGCACACATGGACAAAGGAATCAGCAAAGAAAAAACTTGGACTAGGGGAAATTGGCGTGACAATGGAGACAACTGGACAAAGAAGCAAAGGGACCCAGAAGGTAACTTATGAAGAGAATTAGGGACCGAAGCCAGGAAGAAAAGCAGCCCTTAGAGGGTAAACAACTTGATTTCACCTGCTGCTGCCGCTGGAAACGAGGAGGCAACGACTTCTGATATTTGGGGTAGCCCAAGCCCTGACTAGGGGGCTGGCGGGTGGGACCAATCCCATCACCCTTGGGTTCCACCTTTGGAACTGGGGGTGTGGTAGGAGGAGGAACCTCTTCTGGTGGTTCAGGACCCTCTTTTGAGGGCAGTTGTGGTTCCACTGCATCGGAAAAAACACAACAGAGTGATCTAGTCCAACAATAGACACTCCATGAACACCCCAGGAATCTCACGTCTCATCTCTAGCTCCCTTAAGACTAAAATATTCTATTCAACATCTATTCTATTGAAGCCCCTCCCATTTAAGACCCATTAAAGCACTTCATGGCCTCTCATGAGCCTATGGTGGTGGCATTAACTTTCTATGAAACCATTAGAACAACAGTACTTTCTTCAGTCTTGGCCTATAGGAAATAGTTTTCATTTTTATTTATGTATTTCTTGTGAGACAGGATTTTTTTTTGAGACAGAGTCTTGCTCTGTCACCCAGGCTGGAGTGCAATGGCATGGTCTTGGCTCACAGAAATCTCTGCCTCCCGGGTTAAAGCGATTCTACTACCTCAGCCTCCCAAGCAGCTGGGACTACAAGCACATGCCACCACACTTGGCTAATTTTTGTATTTTTAGTAGAGACGGGTTTCACTATGTTGGCCAGGCTGATCTTGAACTCCTGACCTCATGTTCTGCCCGCCTCGGCCTCCCAGAGTGCTGGGATTACAAGTGTGAGCCACCATGCCTGGCCGACAGGGTCTTGCTTTGTTGCCCAGGCTGGTCTCAAACTCCCTAGGCTCAAGCGATCCTCCACCCCAAGCCTCCCTAAGTGTTGGGATTATAGGCGTGAGCTACAGTACTCTGCCAAGAAATGGTATTAGACTACAACCTAAGATTCCAGACAAAACCTTCCCTCCTTCAGATATACAAATGATAGAACACTATCACTGATAGTCCAATAAACCAAAACAACTGCCTTCTACTTCATTTATCCCCAGCCTTACCACCCTGCACCTTTAAGCACCTTGAAGCAGTGATCTGACATCTGGTAGTACCTATCCCCATCTCCATACCTGGGCTGGCTTCGAAGCTGCCACTGCTGGTGCTACTGGTACTGCCACCACCACTCACCAGAGTGGGAGCCGCAGCCACACCTGGAGTAGGAGTAGATTGGGCAGGAGGGGCCTGTGCTGGCTCTTCAGGTTCTGTCTCTGGTGTTGGGGCTGATGCTGGAGGTGGAGCTGGAGGTGCAGGGAGTTCTTTAGGGACTGCAGGTGGTGGAGCTGGGGTAGAAGGGGCAGCAGGTGGGGCAGCAGGCTCTGCTTTGAGCCGCTTGTCAGGTGCCCCAAACTTTTCATCGAGTCGCTTGAGCTTCTCAGCACAGGCTGCCCGGCGCTCTTCTTGCATGCGCCGCTCCTCTTCTTCTCGCCGTCGC
The DNA here is from genome assembly GCF_000001405.40 of Homo sapiens. Taxonomy (NCBI): domain Eukaryota; kingdom Metazoa; phylum Chordata; class Mammalia; order Primates; family Hominidae; genus Homo; species Homo sapiens. The sequence continues at coordinate 2,932,918 of NT_167246.2, read as the reverse complement.
CGGGCCCGCTCCACTGCCAGGGAAATCTCAGATGACGACTGCTTTCGTCGCTGCCGCCATGCCTCATCCTCATCTTCAGGTGCTGGGGGCTTGCAGGGAGGACCCCCACGATCCTGTCAATTGGCAAGACCCAGCAGGGCCAGGGGAATCAGTTACTATGCTTTCTATCATCTCTTTTACAACAAATCAACTGTCGCTACTTGCAGGATGCAACGACCCAGGCTTTGGGGTTGATCTCTCTGGGTGGTGACAAACTCATTATCCTGGTCTTCTTTGAGACCACGTCTTGCTATGTTGCCCAGGCTGGTCTTGAACTTGGGCTCAAGTGATCCTTCTGCTTCAGCCTGCTGAGTAGCTTGGACTACTGATGCATACTAACAGATCCAGCTATCTAGCCACCCTAGTCTTTTTATTTTTCTGTTCCCTCTCTCCTTCCGAAACCCAAACACCCAGGGCTCCTTTTTCTTCTTTCCTCATTAGCATCCCAGTTTCTCACTTCTTACCCAGACTCCCCTATTACCAAAGATATTTAAAAGCTTCCCAGGATGTTCTGCAGCCTGGCACTTCACACAGCCCATTTTTAGCACCCCCCTTCCTCTATATCACAACCGCTTCAATTACTCAGCTGACACCAATTTCCCACAGCTGACCCTCTCAATCCCTTATTGGAGACACTCACTGGGTAGTCCCCAGGGGGGCCCCAGTTCCCGGCGGGGCCCCGGTGAGGTGGGGGTAGGGGAGGCTTTGGGGCAGGAGGTCCCGGCTCTGTCTCTGGAGGCCGAGAGGTTTCTGCCCAGGCCGTCTTAGGAGTGGGCGGTTCGCTGTTGGGGGAGTTGCCCTTTTTGCCATCTGCTTCAGGGGGCCGTTCCTCACCAGAAGCTGATTGGGAATCCCTGCTGTGAGCAGATCAACAGTGAAATTAAAATCAGCTGCAACTAATATACTCCTCTAAGAGTATATTACCAAAATACAAACCAAGACCCCCTCCTCTTCTCCCCTGATGGCCCTAACTCACTGGCCCTCAGCTCCCTCCTCATCAGAGTCTCGCCCATCTTCCTCATCGCTGAACTTGAGCTTTTCAGTGTAGTCAACCTCTTCATGGGCCCCTGAGGGGAAATATGAGTATTAGTAACCCAAGCATTCTGCCCTCCAATCTTGGGAGGTAGTCTGGAACTATGTAACAAGATGGACTACCAATGCCAATATCCTTCCCTCCGAAGTCTAGATCCACCAATGAAGTCTTGTCATTCTTACTCCTCTCACCACTTTGCAAGGACTTGGTATTCCCCATCCATCCTCCCCTACTCTTTTTTTTTTTTCCTTTTAAAAGTCTCGCTCTGTTGCCCAGGATGGAGTTCAGTGGCACGATCATAGCTCACTGTGACCTCCAACTCCTGGGCTCAACTGATCCTCCCACCACAACCTCCAGAGTAGCTGGGACCACAGATGCACAGTCCACACCCAACTAAAAAATTTTTTTTTTTTTGTAGAGGTGGGGGGTCTTGCTGTGTTGCCCAGGCTGGTCTTGAACTCCTGGCTTCAAGCGATCCTCTCACCTAACACTCCCAAAGCACTGGGATTACAGATGTGAGCCATTGGGCCTGGTCTTCCTACACTTCAATGTCTGCCTTTCACCCACATAACCCTGTATTTTTTTTTCCTCATTAGGTTTTGCCTTTCAAGATCCAAATTCTTGACCCTTAATATCCACTTACCTGCCCAACCATCATCATTCTCCTGATCCAACTGATCAAACTCTTTGAGATTATCCTCTTTGAGAATAGAGGGACGACCCACAGGCTCTACTAAGCGCATTGGTGGCCCTGAGCCTCGGGGGCCCGCCACACGGGGAAAACGGCTGTACACAAAAAAGAAAATGAAATATGGCATGTTGTATAACCACATGCGAGACTGATCCTAGACTGAGCCTCCTGGCTAGAAAACCATCTCCTCCCCCAATAAGCTTCCCCTGCCCCCAGCCACAAACCCAGACCTGGATTGCTCACCTGGGCCCATCAGGAGTGGGGTATCGGTAAGGCCCCTGGGGTCCATAGGGCGGAGGGAACGGGAGATATGGGGGATACATCTGTAAAAGGGTCCAACAGTAGCTGCTCAGAGGGACAGTCATATACCCTTCTAGCTCCTTAAGCCTGCTATCAATCATCCTCCCACCCTCCCTTCTATCTCATAGGTCAAAGACTAAGTCCTGATTCCTAGCTCTCCAGCTTCCAGTGTAATCGTTCCAAGACAAGACACCAAGACTCACGAAAGGCGGCATCATTCCGCGGTAGGGAGGGAACTGGGGTGGGCCTGAAGGCTGTAGCCCACCCCGGGGATCATGACCATGATGAAGTTTGGAGTCCGGGCCCTCCAGCTCATCAGGGCCACGCCCACCTCCGTCCCTCCAAGTTGTAGAATCTGTATTTTGGAAAAGGTAGAGAGAGGTATCAATGATTGGAGGACAAGTGAACACAGCTGAAAGTGATGGGGAGGAAGGTGAATAAGCCAGCACCTAGCTCTGAGATGCAATAGGTAATGTCTTGGCCAAAAGGCAGCCACTCACTTTGGGGGCGGAGGCTTGGTCCGGGCCCAGACGACTGTTCGGCAGACTCCCTTTCCTTGGCAGCCTTGTCCTGGTCGCCAGCCGCCTGCAGGGTCGGAAATTCCTCTCGAGAGAATCGTGACAGTAGGCTTGATGCCCTTCCACCTATTAGGATGGGGATGCAGAACAGGAGACAGAAGACATTTCCTGAGGACATGCTATAAAAGTGGAAGACTCTGGCTGGGCGCGGTGGCTCACGCCTGTAATCCCAGCACTCTGGGAGGCTGAGGCGGGCGGATCACGAGGTCAAGAGATCGAGACCATCCTGGCCAACATGTGAAACCCCATCTCTACTAAAAACACACAAAAAATTAGCTGGGTGTGTTGGCGTGTGCCTATAGTCCCGCTACTCTGGAGGCTGAGGCAGGAAAATCGCTTGAACCCAGGAGGCAGAGGTTGCAGTGAGCCGAGATTGCGCCACTGCACTCCAGCCTGGGTGACAGAATGAGACTCCGTCTCAAAAAAAAAAAAAGTGGAAGGCTCTGACAGGTACCAGACCATCAGGTTTCCCGCCTTCAAACTCACCCCCCTACAGAATAACTGCTTATTCCCCAAGGAGGTCAGTTCTGGCACCACTACACTCCATCATATAAGACTGAGACTTAAACTTGCTCATGTGCCTCCATGAAACTGAATATGGGTGGTCCTTGATTTAGCCAAAGAGGACCAAGGTCACTTGGCTGAAAATACAGTGCAGGGTTCATGCATCCCATGGTGCCCAGACACAGCTCCCCAATTAAGTGCTGCACTCACCATCTCCATGTGCTCCATGGGTGACGCTGGCTTGTGCCCAGGACTTTACCCCGCTTGGAACCAAAGGAGTGTTCTGGGGAAGTGTTCAGAAAGATGATAAATGATGTGGGTGGGGCAGCTATGAACCATTCTTCCTCCCCACCCCTCCAGTTCTCCAGGTACCTCGGGGGCTGCTGGGGGTCGTTTCGGCTGGTTGGAGGCAGGCGTCTGTGAAGCCGGCAGTGGCTGCGATTCCGGCGGCTGAGCGGTTGAGGCATCGGAACTGAGGGGACAGAATGGGAAGGTTATTCACACCTGAGATGCCTCCCTGACTTCTCCAACTGGTGGAGACTCAGGACTGAAATCATGCCCATTGCTACCATTTACAAATATAAGGACAAATTAATTTTGTCATCCTTTGTAGGCTGTTGTCTATTTTTTCATGCTCTCTCTCCAAGACAAAAAGCTAAAGTTTAGTACCATTCCTTAGTCATTTAACAAGGAACCTGCAATAGGTAAGAAAGGGACCTCTTCGTCTCTGGCTCAGACGTGGCTGGACTAAACCAAGCCCCAATGCTCCCTGAAGTTCAAGTTAAAATACCCATCACTCTAGGTCCCCCAAGCCTCTGTCTACCTCTTGGGGTCGGACTGCTCCTGTTTGCTTGCCCATCCTGTTCCGTCTTTTGGCACTAGTGAGACATTGGGGTCATTGCCTTTGTTCTCGGCTTTCAGGCTTGGAAGGTTGGCTGGAGGTGGCATACGCCGGGCAATGGCAACTTTCCCGAGACTCTGCAGGCCATGGCGAGGGGCAACTGGAGAACAAGACGGAGAGAGGGTCGAAAATGCCTCATGTGGGAGATCTGATGGCCTCCTATCCTGGGACACATTTATACATGTTGAATATTTTATTACCTACTTCCTCCAAACTTCTCTTAGAAGGGATTCCTTCCCCTGCCCTTAATAATCTCTGAAATCGCGCTGATTGTGGTGGCTCACACTTTGCAATCCCAGCACTTTGGCAGGCCGAGGCAGGCGGATCACCTGAGGTCAGGAGTTCAAGACCAGCTTGACCAAAATGGAGAAACCCTGTCTCTACTAAAAACACAAAATTAGCCGGGTGTGGTGGCGCATGCCTGTAATCCCAGCTACTCAGGAGGCTGAGGCAGGATAATCGCTTAAACCCAGGAGGTGGAGGTTGTGGTAAGTCAAGATCACACCATTGCACTCCAGCCTGGGCAACAGGAGCTAAACTTGGTCTCAAAAAAAAAAAAAAAAAAAAAAAAAAAATCTATGAAATCCCTATCAAGAAGGCTGAGATATGTAACATTCAATACTTTTATGTGAGATTGGTTGATCATGAGCCTGCAAGAAGCAAGCTGGCCTCAAAGTTTCCCAAATCCACATTTATTTTCCTCCAATTCTTACGTGTCCAAAGACAGGGAACCACAGACACGCCTTTGTAGGAGGATAACTGGTGTTCACCCAGAGCCCACACCCCCTTTAAAGGACCCAGTGTAAAGTTGGGAAATCTCCTCTAGTCTTTTGGTATTTCTACTACAGCCACTTCCCTTTAAAGAGCTCTAAAACGTATGCCCCATGCATGCCTAGCTTTCAACCATCAGAAGCATCTTTGCAGGACTCTCACCAGCGGGTTTCTGGATCTCTAAGGACTTGCCCTTATACGTATCAAACAGGTTGAGCGAGGAATACTTCTTTCCATCCTTTCCCTTGGCAGTCGGCCCCGAGCGATCGGACATTGCGCTGGAAGCTCATTGAGTATGTTGGGTCCTGCAGGCACCTCCCCCAAAACGTGCCAGAGCCTGTGGGCCAGACAGCAAGTGTCTCAGTCTCTGTCCCCTGTACAGACCATAACAGAAACTTAAAAACTCCATTGCATTATCATTAGGGACTCAGATATGAGGCCCTCTGGTGTCTTTTCCTCCAGTCTATGTAAACTGCCCACTCTTCTTAAGCAACCATGATCTACTTAGCTCCCTCATAGCTCAAATGCCATGTTCCCTCCTTTCCCCCAGACACCTTTGTCAAGGAAATCTAAGTAAAAATCCAGCATCCTCCTAGTATAAACACTCTGCCCTTTGTGCCTGTCTACAAAGAGTAATTCCCTACAAGTAATAATCTCTTCTCTCTCCACCAAAATCGTTTCAGAGACTTACAACAGGACAAATTCAAGCAAGAGAAAACTAAAAAAGAAGCATACAATTCCATCAGAGAAGAAGAAACAACACTTTAGATTCCCTGTTTATTGGACACAAGCTCCCTAATCATGCCCCCAGGGCCCTGTACCCCAGGCTCCCAGCCCAGCAGCCTCGTGTCCATCTGGGAAGGTTTGCAGGAAGGTATGCTGGGAGTTTAAGGATTTTATGAGCTTGCTCAGCCGGAATGGGGGTTGGTACCAGAGAAATCCTCATAGAACAACTAGGGCTGTACATACTCCCAGGCTATAGGAACCTCAAGTATTTGAAATATCCCATCTTTTCCTAAACTTGCTCCTGTATTGGCTCCTGGAAAAAATCGCCTCCAGATGAAATACTGTTTTACCATATGAAGAACTGAGAAAAAGCATTATGGAGCCACCTTAGCACCCTGTAACCATGGGCCAGAAAACAGAGGGCCAAGGCCAGAGCCATCTTCGTTTTCCTATCCTCATTAAAAATGTCCATCACCAGTGTTTCTTTACTCGATACCTCCAGCTCCCTAAGCAAGCCGGACGACAGGTCTCTCAGTCCATTCCAGAGTGACCAGGCATTCGTTTATGGACGGGAACAGTGTAAAGAGATGAGAAATAGTGGGGAAGAAAGCAGGGAAATCCAGACAGGCCCAGAATGAAAGCTAAAATTGGGGAGAAAGAACTTTATGACAAGCTAGAGATAAGATGGATGTTGCTTCGTAGGTGTTTGAGGAGGCCAATCTGTGAAGATAAATATATGAAGGGAAAACGAATACAAGAGTCATGTAGCGAATAGACCAAAACTAACAGAAAATAATGAATACGAAAGCAGGTGGAAAATATATGGAAACAGGAATGGCAAAAAAAAAAAGGATGTAGACAACGAAGTAAGGGGGCAGAGGCCCAAGAAGAAAAACGGGGTTGGGGGAGAAAGGAGACGAGGAACAGGAAAAATGAAAAAGCAGACATAGGGCGACTGAGCAACATAGAAAGCAAAGATGCTGGGATAAAAGCAGGATTCTAGAGTGGGAGTGGCTCGACACGAAGAGGGGCGTCCAGAGGGGGGAACACAGCGCTGGATGATAGGAGGGGGTCCAATATGGAGGAAAAGCGCCCTTCCGAGAGAACCGTCGGGCGCGGCCCACCACGGGGCGGCAGCCGGGGAGGGGGCCCACAAATGGGGGTGAAAAGCCAGGAGCGCAGCGGAGGGTAGGGAGTTACGGACCCAGGCGCAGGGGTCACCCCCTGAAGCCAAGACGGTGGGTGGTTAGGGGCAGACTACGGATCCTGAATGAACTGCCGGAGGTGCGGGTCCCGGAGTAGAGGTACCGGAGGGGGAGGGGCAAGCAGGCCCGGCAGCAGGAGGACAAAATGGCGGCGGCTAATGGCAGCTTCTCCTCCCCCCGGCCCACCACCGCCGCCGCCGCCGCCACCGCCACCGCCACCGCCTCTCCCGCGCCGGAAAAGGGCGTCAGCGCACGGTTCACCCAGACTCACCTGGCCGGGTGCGCGGGGATCCGGGACCCGGGCCTAGGGGCTCCCCGGGACGGGATGGCGGTGGGGCGGGGGAGGATGGCGGCGGATGGCGCCGGGTTCGGCTCCTCCCGTCTCCCTCGCTCACTCCGCGGCTGAGCCCCGACTAACGGCCCATCCGGGCAACCGCCGCCCCCGGGAGCACCCCCTCCCACCTCCCACCTCCCTCCGCGCCTAGACACGCCCCTTAATTTGCATAAAGGGCGGGGCACTTTCTACCCTAACCCTCTACTTCCAGGGCTGTCTTTAGTTTAAAAAAAAAAAAAAAAGGGCCGGGCGCGCGGAGCATGCGGAGGTTATTTGCATAAAGAGGAGGGACTTAAGGGCACTAGGACCCCGATTGGCTAAGGAGGCGGGCCCCCAGCGTCGGCCGTTGAGCCGTGTTGAGGGGGCGGGAATGCGGTGCAGGTCGGCTGGGCGGTTGGGACGCAGAATTTACACGACGAATGTGGGAGAAAGAGGCGGAGCGTGCGTCGGACGTTAGTAGAAAGATGGGAGCGGAGAGACGTTGGGACGCCAAAAGTGGAAGGCAACGACACACGGCCCGTGGCGCCTTCAGCTAGGGAGAAAGAGAGAGAGGACGGGGGCTGGCGGGCGGGATTAGCTGCCGGAGGGCTGAGTTTCCGCAGGCCTGGTAAGAGTTCCAGCTCTCGCATCCCTTTGCCGTGAGTTTGAGGAGGTGGTTGGAGCGGGGAAATGCACCAGAGGGGCGGGGCCTTCCAGTTATTATATTACGTCATGCAAATGAGGTGGCTAGACAGACCAATCCAAAGGCCCCGGGAAGCGTTTCGTCCGCACCACGCAGCGTAGGCATTCTTCGGGCAGTTCTACCTATTTGCATAATGTATGCAAATCATTTGAACAAAGATAGGCTAGGAATGACTCGTTCATCAAAATATGGGCAACCATCGACTAAGACGGACATTTAATTTTATAACCTATAATTTTCATGAATAAATTTTTATATTTGAAATTATTGGGAATTTGTAATTTCTTAACAATGGGTTTCATTTTGTGAAATGCAGTACTGTTACCCTCCTTTGTCTCTTACTACCCGATTCTAGAACTCTCTGCTCCCATCAGAGTTATACCCATTCAACAGATCATTCAATGACTATGATTTGAAGGCGCTGGAGATAATGCACAGGATATTATAGAAGTAGAGAAATAAGGCCTGGCGCGGTGGCTCACGCCTGTAATCCCAGCACTTTGGGAGGCCTAGGCAGGTGGATCACGAGATCAGGAGTTCAAGACCAGCCTGGCCAACATGATGAAACCCCATTTCTACTAAAAATACAAAAATTTGCCCTACGTGGTGGCGGGCGCCTGTAATCCCAACTACTCGGGAAGCTGAGGCAGAGAATTCCTTGAACCAGGGAGGCGGAGGTTGCACTCCAGCCTGGGTGACAGAGCAAGACTACGTCTCAAAAAAAAAAAAAAAAAAAAAAAAAAAGAAGGATGGGCGCGGTGGCTCACGCCTGTAATCCCAGCACTTTGGGAGGCTCAGGCGGGCGGATCACCTGAGGTCACGAGTTCGAGACCAGCCTGACCAACATGGAGAAACCCCGTCTCTACTAAAAATACAATTACCCAGGCGTGGTGGCGCATGCCTATGATCCCAGCTACTCGGGAGGCTGAGTCGGGAGAATCGCTTGAACCTGGGAGGCGGAGGTTGTGGTGAGCCAAGATCGTGCCATTGCACTCCAGCCTGGGCAACAAGAGCGAAACTCTATCTCAAAAAAAAAAAAAAAAGAAAGAAGTAGAGAAATAAAATATGATTATGCCTGGGGTGATTGAGAAATGTTTCTAGAAAAACTCTTATTAAGAGATATGAGGCCGGGCGTGGTGGCTTATGCCTGTAGTCCTGGCACTTTGGGAGGCTGAGGCGGGCAGATCACAAGGTCAAGAAATGGAGACCATCCTGGCC